>NC_000023.11:34543196-34693553 GCF_000001405.40 Homo sapiens | reverse complement strand
GCCATATGCAGAAAATTGAAATTGGACCCCTTCCTTACCCCTTATACAAAAATTAAATCAAGATGTATTATAGACTTAGATGTAAAACTCAAAATTATAAAAACCCTAGAAGAAAACCTAGGCAATAACACTTATAACTCACTTATAACTGGGAGTTGAACAATGAGAACACATGCACACAGAGGGGAACAACATACACTGGGGTCTGTTGTGGGGGACAAGTGGCGGAAGAGCATGAGGAAAAATAGCTAATTTATGTTGGACTTCATATATAGGTGATGGGTTGACAGGAGTCGCAAATCACCATGGCACACATTTACCTATGTAACAAACTTGCACATCTTGTGCATGTACCCCAGAACTAAAATAAAATAAATAAATAAAACACATGGTCAGAGGAGACTATAGAAAAAATAATTTTTTAAAAAATGAAGCATGCCTACAGGTCTAGAAAATCGCCTTGTAAGAACATATCTAAGAGTTACTGGCCTAAAAGAGGAGGTAGAGAAAGAGATAGGAGAGAAATTTTATTCAAAATGATAATAACAGAGAACTTCCCAAACTTAGAGGAAGATATGAATTTCCAAGTACATGAAGGTCATAGAATACCAAGCACATTTAACCCAAAGATGACTACCTCAAGGCATTTAATAATCCAACTCCCAAACATCAAGAATATAGATTAAAAGCAGAAGAAGAAAAGAAACAAATAACACACAATGGAGCTCCAACACGTCTGGTAGCAGACTTTTCAGTGGAAACCTTGCAGACCAGGAGAGAGTCGAATGACATATTTAAAGCGCTGAAGAAAAAACATCTTACCATAGAATAGTATATCCAGTGAAAATATCCTTCAAACATGAAGGAGAAATAAACACTTTCCCAGACAAACAAAAGCTGAGGCATTTCATCAATACCATAACTGTCCTACAAGAAATGGTAAAGGGAATTCTAATCAGAAAGAAAAGGAAAGTAATGAGCAACAAATAATCACTTGAAGGTACAAACTCACTAGTAATAGTAAGTACACAGAAAAACACAGAATATTATAACACTGTAACTGTCCTACGTAGACAGACTACATGATGAACCAATCAAACATAATCACTACAACTTTTTAAGACATAGTCAATACGATAAGATATAAATAGAAAAAATAGAAAGTTAAAAAGAGGAAGACAAAGTTAAGGCATGGAATTTTTATTAGTTTTCCTTTTGCTTGTTTGTTTGTTTATGCAAATAGAGCTAAGTTGGCATCAGGTTAAAATAGTGGTTTATAAGATAGTATTTGCAAGCTTCATGGTAACCTCAAACCAAAAAATATACAATGAATACACAAAAAATAAACAGCAAGAAACCAAATTATATCACCAGAGAAAATCACCTTTGCTAGAGGAAGACAGGAAGTAAAAAAAAGAAGGAAGAGAAGACCACAAAACAACCAGAAAATGATAAACAAAATGGCAGGAGTAAGTCCTTACTTATTAATAATAAAATCGAATGTTAATGGACTACACTTACCAATCAAAAGAAAAAGACTGGGCCGGGCGCAGTGGCTCATGCCTGTAATCCCATCACTTTGGGAGGCTGAGGTGGGTGGATCGCTTGAGCTCAGGAGTTTGAGACCAGCCAGGACTATATAGTGAGACCCCATCTCTACTAAAAGTACAAAAATTAGCCATGCGTGGGTGGTGCAAACCTATAGTCCCAGCTACTAGAGAGGCTGAGGCATGAGAATCACTTGAACCCGGGAGGTGGAGGTTGCAGTGAGCCAAGATCATGTGACTGCACTCCACCCTGGGTGACATAGCAAGAGTCTGTCAAAAAAAAAAACAAAAAAAAAAGACATATACTGGCTGAATGGATGAAAAACAGGACCTATTGATCTCTTGCCTACAGGAAACACAATTCACTTATTAAGACACACCTAGACTGAATAGAAATGAATGGAAAAAGATATTCCATGCCAATGAAAACCAAAAATAGATAGGAGTAGCTATGCTTACACAAATAGATTCCAAGACAAAACTATAAGATGAGGCAAGGAATGTCACTCTATTCACTCTATAATGATAAAGATGTCAATTCAGCAAGAGGATATAACAATTTTAAATATATATGCACACAACACTGGAGCACCCAGATATATAAAGAAATATTAAGAGCTAAAGAGAGAGATAGGCCTCAATACACTAATTTCTGGAGACTTTAACTGCCTGCTTTCAGCATTGGACAGATCTTCCAGACAGAAATCAACAAAGAAACATCAGACTTAACTGAACTATAGACTAAATGGATCTAATATATATTTACAGAACATTTCATTTTGTGTTATACTTTTTGGAGAGACAGGGTCTCACTATGTTACCTGTATTGGCCTCAAACTCCTGTACTTAAGCAATCCTTCTACCTTGGCCTTCCATAGTGCTGTGATTACAGGCATGAGCCACCATGCCCAACCTACAGAACATTTCATCCAACGACTACAGAATACACATACTTTTTCTCAGCCCGTGGATCATTCTCAAGGATAGACCATATGTTAGGTCCAAAACAAGTCTTAAAACATTCAAAGCAATTGAAATATCAGGCATCTTCTCTTACCACAATGAAATAAAACTGGAAATTAATTACAAAACAAATTTTGGAAACTATACAAATACATGGAAATTAAACAATGTGCTCCTGAATGACCAGTGGGTCAATGAAGAAATTAAGATGGTAATTGAAAAATTTCTTCAAACAAATGGGATTAAAAACACAACATACAAAACCAATGCGATACAAGGAAACCAGGACTCAGAGGGAAGATTATAACACTAAGTGCCTACATCAAGAAAGAGGAAAAACTTCAAATGAACAATCTATCAATGTTTCTTAAAGTACTAGAAAGGCAAGAACAAACCAAACCCAAAATTAGTAGAAGTAATAAGGATCAGGGCAGAAATAAATGAAACTAAATGAAAAGAAATACAAAAGATCAATGAAACAAAAAGTTGTTTTTTGAAAAGTTAAACAAAATTGACAAACCATTAACCAGACTAAGAAAAAAAGAGAGCAGATCCAAATCAAATCAAAAAATCAGAAATGAAAAGACATTACAACTGATTCTGCAGAAATTTAAAGGATCATTAGTGGCTACTATTAGCAACTAAATACTAACAAATTGAAAGATCTAGAAGAAATGGACAAATTCCTAGATACATACCACCTACCAAGATTGAACAAGGAAGAAATCCAAAACCCAAACAGACCAATAACAAGTAAGAGAATCAACACCATAATAAAAAGTCTCCCAGTAAAGGGAAGCCCAGGACTTGATGTCTTCACTGCTGAATTCTCGCAAACACTTAAAGAACAACTAATATCAATCCTACTTAAAATTTTCTGAAAAATAGAGAAGGAGGAAAATTTTCAAACTCATTCTATGAGGACAGTATTACCCTGATACTAAAACCAGAAAAAGGCACCAAATAAAGAAAACTACAGGCCAGTTTCTCTGATTAATATTGAAGCAAAAATCCTCAACAAAACACTATCAAACCAAATTTAACAATACATTGAAAGCGTCATTCATCATGACCAAGTGGGATTTATCTCTGGGATGCAAGAATGGTTCAACAAACACCAATCAGTGTGACAAATCATATCAACAGAAGGAATGATAAAAATCACATAATCATTTCAATTGATGCTGAAAATGCACTTGGTAAAATTCAACATCCCTTCATGATAAAAGAAAAATCCTCAAAAAATTGAGGATAGAAAAAAATACCTCAACATAATAAAAGCCATATATTACAGACGCATAGCTAGTGCCATACTGAATGGGGAAAAACTGCAAGCCTTTCCTCTAAGATCTGGAACACAACCAGGTTGCCCAATGTCATCATTGACATTATTCAACCTAATACTGGAAGTCCTAGAGAGAGCAATCAAACAATAAAGAGATATAAAAGGCATCCAAATTGAAAAGGAAAAAGTCAAATTATCCTTGTTTGAAATGATATGATCTTATATTTGAAAAAGCCTAAAGATTCCACAAGAAAAGTGTTAGTACTTATTTAAAAATTCAGTAAAGTTGCTGGATACAAAATCAACATACAAAAACCAGTAGCACTTTTTCTGCTAACAGTGAACAATGTGAAAAAATTTTTTTAAAGCAATCTCATTTACAACAGCCACACATAAAATTAAATACCTAGGAATTAACAAAAGAAGTAAAAGATCTCTATAAAGAAAACTATAAAACACTGATGAAACAAACTGAAGAGGACACACAAAAAAATGCAAAAATAGGCTAGGCATGGTGGTTCACACCTGTAATCCCAGCACTTTAGGATGCTGAGGTGAGCAGATCGCTTGAGCTCAGGAGGTCAAGATCAGCATGGGCAACATGGTAAAACCCCGTCTCTACAAATATGCAAAAATCATCCAGGCATGGTGGCTCACACCTGTAGTCCCAGCTACTCAGGAGGGTGAGGTGGGAGGATCACTGGACGCTGGGAAGGAGAGGTTGCAGTGAGCCGAGACTGCACCACTGCACTCCAGTCTGGGTGACAGAGTGAGACCCTGTCTTAAAAAAAAAAAAAATTCCATGTTCACAGATTGGAAGAATTAATATTGTTAAAATGTCCATACTTCTAACGGCAATCTACAGATTCAGTGCAATCCCTATCAAAATAACCAATGACATTCTTCACAGAAATAGAAAAATCAATCCTAAAATGTATATGGAACCACAAAAGACCCAGAACAGCAAAGCTAGGCTAAGCAAAATGAACAAAACTGCAGGAATTACATTAGCTGACTTTGAATTATACTACATAGCCATAGTAACCAAAATAGCATGGTACTGGCCTAAAAAAAGACACATAGAACTTTGGAACAGAATAGAGAACCCAGAAACAAATCCACACACCTACAGTGAACTCATTTTTGACAAAGGTTCCAAGAACATACACTGAGAAAATGGCAATCTCTTCAATATATGGTACTGGAAAAACTAGATATCCATATGCAGAAGAATGAAACTAGACCCCTATCTCTCAACATATACAAAAAACAAATTAAAATGGATTAAAGACTTAAATCTAAGAACTGAAGCTATATAACTACTGCAAGAAAACTTTGGGGAAAATCTCCAGGACATTGGTCTGGGCCAAAATTTCCTGAGTAATACTCCACAAGCACAGGCAACCAAAGCAAACATGAACAAATGGTATCACATCAACTTAAAAAGCTTCTGCATGACAAATGATAATACAATCAACAAAGTGAAGAGACAACCCACAGAATGGATTTGCAAACTACCTGTGTTAGTTTGTTCTCAAGCAGCTAATAAAGACATACCCAAGACTGGGTAATTTATATTTTTTTAAAAAAGAGGTTTAATTGACTCACAGTTCAGCCTGGCTGGGGAGGTCTCAGGAAATTTGCAATTATGGTGGAAGGGAAAGCATAAACATCCTTCTTGACATGGCAGCAGGAGAAGAAGTGAGAACCGAGCGAAGGGGGAAGCCCCTTATAAAACCATCAGATCTTGTGAGAACTTACTCAGTCTCACAAGAATAACATGAGGGAAACTGTCTTCATGATTAAATTACCTCCCACCGGGTCCCTCCCACAGCATGTGGGGATTATGGGCACTACAATTCAAGATGAGATTTGAGTGGGGACACAGCCAAACCGTATCACTACCCTTCTGACAAGAGATTAATAACCAGAATATATAAGGAGCTCAAATGACTTTATAGGAAAAAGATCTAATAATCTGATCAAAATATAGTCAAAAGATTTGAATAGATATCTCTTAAAAGAAGACACAAATGGCTAACAGGCATATAAAAAAGTACTCAACATCACTGATCATCAGAGAAATGCAAATCAAAACTACAATGAGATACCATCTCATCCAAGTTAAAATGGCTTTTATCCAAAAGACAGACAATAACTAATGCTAGCGAGAATGTGGAGAAAAAGGGACCCTCACAGACTGTTGATGGGAGTGTAAATTGTAGAACCACTAAGAAGATCAGTTTAGAGGTCCCTAAGAAATCTAAAAATTGAGCTACCATGTGATTCAGCAATTCCCTACTGGGTATATACCCCAAAGAAAGGAAATCAGTATTTCAAAGAGATACCTTTGCTCCTGTATTTGTTGCAGCACAATTTACAATAGCTAAGATTTGGAAGCAATCTAAGTGTCCGTCAACAGATGAATGGATAAAGAAAATGTGGTACATCTACACAATGGAGTACTATTAAGCCATCAAAAATAATGAAATCCAGTCATTTACAACAACATGGATGGAACTGGAGATCATTACGTTAAATGAAATAATCCAGGCACAGAAAGACTAACATCACATGTTCTCACTTATTTGTGGGATCTAAATATCACAACAATTGAATTCATAAGCACAGAGAGTAGCCAGATGGTTACCAGATGCTAAGAAGGTTAGTGGGTAGCTGGGGATGGGGGGAGATGGGGATGGTTAATGAGTACAGCAAAAATAGAAAGAATGAATTTAACCTGCCATTTCATGGCACAATTGAGTGACTACAGTCCATGATCACTTAATTGTGCATTTTGAAATAAGCAGTGTAATTCAACTGTTTGTAACTCAAAGGATAAATGCTTGAGAAGATTAATATCCCATTCTCCATGATTTGTTTATTTCACATTGTACACTTGTCTTGAAACATCTCATGTACCCCATAAACTTATGCACCTACTATGTACCCATAAATTTTTTTAAGAAAAGAAAGAACAAAACCTCTGTGCAATATGGGATTGGTACAGTTACCAAATGTATGACTCATTGGAAGCCCTGAAATACAGAGATAATAAATGAGAGAGCAATTTGGAAACATATTTGAGGGTATCATCGATGATAATTTCCCCAACCTGGCTAGAAAGGCCAGCATTTAAACTCAGGTAATGCAGAGAACCCCTGCAAGATATTATACAAGGTGAACATCCCCAAATCACATAGTCATCTGATTCTCCAAGGTTTACATGAAAGTAAAATTATGAAAAGCAGCAAGAGAGAAGGAGCAGGTCACCTACAAAGGGAACCTCATCAGGCTAACTGAAGACCTTTCCACAGAAAACCTACAGGCCAGAATAAATTGGGAGCCTTTCTTTAGCATTCTTAAAGAAAAGAAATTCCAACCAAAAATTTTATATTCAGCCAAACTATGCTTCGTAAGTGAAGGAGAAATAAGATCCTCTTTAGACAACTAAATATTCTTACTAAGGGGTTTGGTTACCATGAGACCTGCCTTACAAGAGGTTCTTAAGGTAATACTAAATATGGAAATGAAAGGCTATTACCAGCCAACACAAAACAGCACTTGTCATAGACCATTGACATTATAAAGCAAGTACACAATCAAGTCTAACTTAATAACCAGCTAACATGATAACAGGATCAAATTCACATATAACAATATTAACCTTGAATGTAAACTGACCAAATGCCCCAATTAAAAGGCATAGTGTGGCAAGTTGCATAAAGAAGCAAGATACAAATATATGCTGTCTTCAGGAGACCAGTCTCACATGGAATGACACCCACAAGCTCAAAGTAAAGGGATGAAGAAAAATCTAACAAGGAAATGGAAAGTAATAAAAGTAAGGATTGCTATTTTAAATTCAGATAAAACAGACTTTAAACCAACAACCAAAAAGACAAAGTAACGCTTTACATAATGCTAAGGGGTTCAATTCAACAAGAAGACTTAACCATCCTAAATATATGAGCACCCAACACTAGAACACACAGATTCATAAAACTAGTTCTTAGAGACCTACAAGGAGACTTAGGTAGCCACACAATAATAGTGGGAACCTTCAACATCCCACTAACAATATTAGACAGATCAGTGAGGCAGAAAACTAACAGAGATATTCAGGATCTGAACTTGACACTCAACCTAATGGACCTGACAGACATCTACCGAACTCCCTACTCAAAAACAAAAATACATGCATTCTTCTCATCTGCACATAGCACGTACTCTAAAATTGACCACACGATCATCCATAAAACAATTCTCAGCAAATTAAGGAAAAACAATGACCCAGTGTGGTGGCTCATGCCTGTAATCCCAGCACTTTGGGAGGCCATGGTGGGTGGATCACCTGAGGTCAGGAGTTCAAGATCAGCCTGGACAACATGGTGAAATGCTGTCTCTACTTAAAAAAATACAAAAATTAGCCAGATGTGGTGGTGGGTGCCTGTAATCCCAGCTGCTCGGGAGGCTGAGGCATGAGAATCACTTGAACCTGGGAGGTGGAGGTTGCAGTTAACCAAGATCACGCCATTGCACTCCAGCCTAGGCGACAAGAGCAAAATTCCATCTCAAAAAATAAAAAAAATGAAATCATACCAACCACACCCTTGGACCACAGCACAATAAAAACAGAAATCAATGCTGAGAAGATCTCCCAAAACCATACAATTACAGGGAAATTAAATAAGTTACTTCTGAATGACTTCTGGGTAAATAATGAAATTAAGTCAGAAATCAAGAAATTCTTTGAAACTAATAAGAACAAATACACAATATATCAGAATCTCTAGGACACAGCTAAAACAGTATTAACAGGAAAGTTTATAGCACTAAATGGCCACATCAAAAAGTTAAAAAGAATTTAAATTAACAACCTAATATCACATCTTCAGGAACTAGCAAAACAAGAGCCAACTAACCCCAAGACTAGCAGAAGATAAGAAATAAACAAAATCTGAGCTGAACTGAAGAAAAATGAGACACAAAAAAACATACTAAAGATCAACAAATTCAGGTTTTTAGTTTTTGGAGAGAATAAATAAGATTGATGGACTGCTAGCTAGACTAATAAAGAAAAAAGAGAAGATCCAAATAAACACAATCAGAAGTGACAAAGAGAACATTACTACTGACTGCACAGAAATACCAGAAATACAAAATAAAACCCTCAGAGACTATTATGAACACCTCTATGCACACAAAATAGAAAACCCACAATAAATGAATAAATTCCCGAACCAGGAAGAAATTGAAAACCTAAAGAGACCAATAATGAATTTTGAAATCGAAACAGTAATAAAAACCCTACCAACAGAAAAAGCCCAGGACCAGATGTATTCCCACTCGAATTCTACCAAAATGATACCACTCCCACTGAAGCTATTCTAAAAAAAATTGAGGAGGAGGACGGACTCTTTCCTAACTCATTCTATAAGGCCATTCTATAACTCATTCTATAAGGTATTCTGATACCAAAATTTGGCAGAGACACCACAAGGAAATAAAAGTTCAGGCTAATATCCTTGATGAACATAGATGTAAAAATTCTCAATAAAATACTAGCAAACCAAATCTAGCATTTCAAAAAGTAAATCCACCATTATCCAGTATTTTTTTTTCTGGGATGCAAGGTTGGTTCAACATATACAAATCAGTAAATGTGATTCATCACACAAGCAGGGACAAAACAAAAACCACACAACTATTGCAATAGGTGCAGAAAAGCTTTTGATAAAATTCATTATCCCTTCATGTAAAAAAAAAAACTCAACAAACTAGGCATTGAAGGAACATACCTCAAAATAATAAGAGCCATCTATGACAAACCCACATCCAACACCATTCTGAACAGGCAAAAACGGTATGCATTCCTCTTGAGAACAAAAACAAGACAAGATGGCCTGTTTTCATCATTTCTACTCAGCTGAGTACTGGAAGTCCTAAGAAGAGCAATTAGTCAAGTGAAAATAGTAAAAGGCATCCAAATAGGAAGACAGAAAGTCAAACTATCCCTGTTTGCAGATGATATGATTTTATACGTAGAAAACCCCATTGTCTGCTGAAAAGTTCCTAGATCTGATCAACAATTTCAGCAAAGTTTCAGGGTACAAAATCAATGTACAAAAATCAGTAGCATTTCAATACACCAACAACGTCCAACCAGAGTGCCTAATGAAGAACACAATCCCATTCACAACAGCCACAAAAAGAATAAAATACCTACGAATACAGCTAAATATAGCGGTGAAAGATCTCCACAATGAGAAATACAAAGGCTGCTAAAAGAAATCAGAGATGACACAAACAAAGGAAAATATATTCCATGCTCATGGATAGAAAGAATCATATTGCTAAAATGGTCACACTGCCCAAAGCAATTTAGAGATTCAACGCTATTTCTATCAAACTACTAATGACATTCTTCACAGAATAAGAAAAAAAAATTCTAAATTTCATGTGTATTAGTACCTTCTCACACTGCTAATAAGGACATATCCAAGACTGGGTAATTTATAAAGAAAAGAGGTTTAACTGATTCACAGTTCAACATGGCTGGGGAGGCCTCATGAAACTTACCATCGTGGTGGAAAAGGAAGCAAACATACCCTTCTTCACATGGTGGCAGCACGGATAAGTGCTGAGCAAAAGGGGGAAAAGCCCCTTTTAAAACCATCAGATCTCATGAGAACTCATTTACTATCATGAGAACAGCAGCATGGGGGTAACTGCCCCCATGATTCGATTACCTCCCACCAGGTTCCTCCCATGACAAGTGGGGATTATGGGAACTACAATTCAATTCAATTGGAAAAGCATTTAAACAGCATGGGATAATAACAACCAGAATGCTTAAGGAATTGGTTGCTGTTGATTAATTAAATTTTTTAGCTATTAAACAGTTTGCTATAACTTTTTTGTAAAAGGAGAGACAATATTGTCACATGCTACAACATGGATGATCCTTGAGGAAATTATGCCAAATGAAATGTCAGTGACAAAAAGACAAATACTGTATGATTCTACTCATATGAGCTGTCTAAAATAAATTCATAGAAACAGAAAGTAGAATGCTGGTTACCAGGGGCTGGGCAGAGGGGAAAATGGGGAATTATTATTCAATGGGCATAGCGCTTCAGATCTGCAAGCTGAAAAAGGTCCAGAGGTCTGTCTTACAACAATGTGAATATACTTAAGACTACTGAACTGTAAACTTAAAATGGTTAAGATGATAAATTTTATGTTTTGTGTTTTTTTTACCATATTTAAAAAAAAACATTGTATGTAGAGCAGTTCAATAAGAGTATTGTCAATTCCATAATCGTCTTACAAGAGAATATAGTTGCTAACAGCATTTAATAAGACCAGTCATGGTGGCTCATGCCTGTAATCCCAGCACTTTGGGAAGCCGAGGTGAGAGGATCACTTGAGACCAGCAGTTCAAGATCAGCCCTGGAAACATAACAAGACTTTGTCTCTACAAAAACATTTTTTAAAAAAATTTAGCCGGGCATGGTGGTGCACGCCTGTAGTCCCAGCTACTTAGGGAGGATTGCTTGAGCCTAGTAGGTTGAAGGTGGAGTGAGCCATGGTTGCACCACTGCACTCCAGCCTGGGTGAGAGTGAGACCCTGTCTCAAAAAACAAAAATAAGTTTCACCTATAGCACTCACCTAGCCTTTAAGATATATTTTTACATCATTGATCTCAGGAAATGTACTTTCAAATGAGAAAGTGAATGATTATTTCCTTTGGTGTATAGAGTAGATCTACACCACCACTTACACTGGTTATTTTGCTGTCTGAACCACCAATAGTAACATGAAAGTTCATTTTCCATACAATTTTAGCTATCTTTAGAGAAGAAATTTTTGAAGCGTGACACATCTTTGTCCTTAAGAAAAATTTTTTTTTAAATTTAAGTCTACGTGAAATGACCACTATAGGTAAAATGACCACTATAGGCTACTAGTCTTATTCGTGATTAGGTCTGCTTTTTACATCCTGACAAAAATCAGCCCCTCCTGCATAGAGGGATGTTTATTCCTAGGTCAAAAACCCTATCTAACTGCCAAATTGCTAGTAAACAAAATGCTATACTCCCTGCAAATGAGCTATTTAATATTTTAGCTCTTGGGCCACAAATTAATGTACCAGTTTCTTGGAAGAAATTAATGCAGTTCAGGGTTCATTTCTTTTATTATAACTGTAGGGATAAAATAAACTTCAGAAGCTTTTTTTGTTGTTGCTAAAATACATGCATTTTAGCAGCACTTTATGCATGAAAGATTTTCTCTTCTTTTAAAAATATTGTTTATATATGTGCATCTTATCTTTTACCCGTGGTAGAAATTTAATCATCCTTCACACTTTCTCTTAGAAATCACCATGATCTGGTGATTTTATCAAATAACATTATGAAATTCATTTTTTTGATCAGTTGGTGTTGTTACATTAAGAGTGTAGACTCTGGAACAACATATCCTGAAATGTGTCCAAGCTCACCCATCTCATTCAGTTCAGTTTGCTGAACTGATTTTCAGCAATGTACTTAAAATTTTTGTGCCACAGTTTCCCAAAAATGGATATACAAGTAATTGCTATTGATACCACTGTTGTGGTAACTGACTTATTATGTAAGAAGCTAAAAATGGGTTTGGCACATACACACTGCTAAATAATATTAGCTACTATCATATTGTCTGTATTATCATTATTGTAGTTTCAAGTTTCATGAGCTCATCACTGAAGCTCTATAACAGTCTCTGAATTGGTCCACTTCGATTCCATCTCCAAATACCCTCTAGAGTGACCAATCTGGAGTGCAAATCTGACCACATCACTCCCACACTTATAATCAATTCACAGCTTTCTGCCACTGACAAGACAAAAGACAAAATGTCCTGACATGGCAAACAAGTGCTTCCATGACTAGTTGGCATATTGTCTCTTCAGCCCTATTTCATGCCATTCAGCCACTCACATTACATTCCAACAGCAGTCAAGTATTTATGGTTCCCAGAATATGTCATGTATCATGCCTTCATACAAGTGAAAACATGCTGTGCCCAGCTGCATTTCTTTGAATGTTTTCTCTAGCCACTAAGGCCCATTTTTTCATCTACATGGTAAGCAAAAGTGCTGGGGAATTAACACTTCCCAGGAGAAACTCTGACTAACAAGAACTGGTGTATAAAACACCAGCTCCCTCAACCCTCGCAATCACTTAAGAATAACTCAAAAGTGCATATTCTACACTGTTCCCCAGAACTCCCTAGCAGGATCAAGCTCAAATTACCAATAATAAATGCTTGAAAACAAATTTTCTATTGTCTGCTAACTGTTCATCATCTTACTTCCTATCTGGCATGTCCTGCTGTCACTTCCCAAATAAACTACTTGTTCTTGAATCCTGGTGTTGGCATCTATTCCCGGGGGATCCCAAACCTAAAACGTACTGCATTAATCTAGGTAATTTACACTACCTACCACTAAAGCCAGGGTTCAAAAATCTCATCACTAAACACAATGTTTGTTTCTCACTTTTGTAAAGTCAAATCAAGACTAGTCAATCCTTCTCCATATTGAACACCATCACATGCACAGTTTCCTAGGGCATGTCTGAGAGCAGAATGGGATGGAAGAGGCTGATGAGGTTTGGCTCTGTGGCTCCACCCAAATCTCATCTCGAGTTGTAATCCCCGTGTGTCAAGGGAGGGATCTGGTGGGAGGTGACGGGATCTGGAGGCAGTTTCCTCCATGCTGTTCTCAAGATAGTGAAGGAGTTCTCATAAGATCTGGTGGTTTAAAAGTGGCAGTTTCCCCTACACTCTCTCTCTCCTGACTCCTTGTGAAGAAGCTGCTTGCTTCTCCTTTGCCTTCCACCATGACTGTAAGTTTCCTGAGGCCTCCCCTGTGAGTCAACTAAACCTCTTTTATTTATAAATTACCCAGTATCAGGTGATATCTTTATAGCAGTAATGAAAACAGACTAATACAGAGGCATTCCTCATTCTTAACTGCCTTAGTTAAGAAGTGACTTAGGCTATCTCTCACTCATTGTCTATTGGCCAGAACTAGCCATATGGTCAAATCTAACTGCAATGCAGGTTGTAAAATATAGATGGGATAACTATTCAGCACCAACTGTTTCTCACCTACCCAACCTCCAATGTTTCTGAAAAAGTCCATTATGGCTCAACCCCTTTGTCTTATCATACTGGATCAAGGGTCTTTGTTATGTGATTCCATGATGCTTTTTATAAATCTATTCACTGTACCCATATAATTTATGTTTTTGTCAGTCAGGCTAAACTACCACCCAATGATCTCCTTGAATATAGAGATAATTTTTATTTTTCTTTTAATTTCAACCTTTTAATTTTAATTTTTAATAAAAATTATATATATTTAAGGTGTACAATGTGATATTTTGATGCAGATATTCATAGTGAACTGATTACTACAGTCAAGCTAATTATCCTATTCAAACCCACATAGTTAGCATTTGTGTGTGTGTGGTTTGATATAGTCCCACTTGTTTATTTTTGCCTGTGATTTTGGTGCTACATCCAAAAATATTTGCCAAGGCCAATATCAAGGAGTTTTTCCTCTGTTTTCTTGTAGGAGTTTTATGGTTTCAATGTATTGTATTCTGAAAAATTGCTAAGATAATAGATATTAAGTGTTTTCACCACGATAAAAGATAAATGAGGTAATACATATGTTTATTAGCTCAATTGAGCCATTCCACAATACAAACATATTTCAAAATATCATGCTGTACACAAAAAATATATACAATTTTTATTTTTCAATTAAAATTTTAAATAAATACATAAATGCATAAATGCATACAAACACAAGGATCCAGTTTCATTTTTTTGCATGTGGATGTCCCATTTTCCCAAAAGCATTTATTGAAGGAGTTGTAATTTCTTCACTGTGTCTTGTTTGTGGCCTTGCCAAAAACTGGTTGACCATATATGCTTGGGTTTATTTCTAAGCTCTCTACTCTTTTCCATTGGTCTATATTTCTATTTTGGTTCCAATGCCATACATTTCTGACTATTACTGCTTTGTAATATAATTTGAAATCAGGAAGTGTGATGCCTTCAGCTTTGCTTTTCTTTATCAAGCTTGTTTTGGCCACTCAGGGTCTTTTGTGGCTCCATACAAATTTTAGAATAATTTTTTCTATTTCTGTGAAAAATGCCTTTGTAATTTTGATAGAAATTGCATTGGATCTCTGTATCATTATAGATAATATGAAATTTTAACAATATTAATAGATTTTTCTTATCGAGGAGCTTATCATTATTTTATAAAAGATTATTATTTTTACTGATATAATTCTATGCTCTTTTAGGCATATATCCCCTGGTTGTCAGAATGGAAGTCAATGACTTGACAGAAATTAGAAAGAAGTTCAGGGATTGCATTTTATCCATCTCTCTTTCATAGTACCTGTCCAATTACCTAACATTGCTGGTGAAAGTTAGAAGAAATATAACCCTAAAATAGAGATTATATTGTGCTGTTTTTGCTTGTAGCTTTCAGATTCCCAACTTGGAAAATGGTTGTCCACATTTTATACTAATAACTGTGGTTTACATTTGGGTGGTTTCTAGTAGACTTGGGTGATAATATAGTTGAATATTTTTCTGTGACATACTAAAATATTGTTTATTTCCAATTTTACCAACAATTATCAAATTATCAGGATTAATTCTTATCACAGTTTTCTCTCTTCAAAGTAATCTTCTGGGAGAGGGTAAAGGTCATACAATACCTAAACAATACTGTACACATAAAAGAGGAAAATAATGTACATGAAGAAAAAGAGTTTGTAAAGTGGCTCTATTTGGAGCCATGTGGCTGATTTCAAACCCTGAACATCCCTTCTAAGAAAAACAACAAAAAGTTGCATAAAATATGAACTTTTTCTTAAATGTCACCACTGATATGGCAAGAAATAAACAATGAAAAAACGACAAAAAATAAAATGAAAGCATAAACATCAGAATGTAAGAGATAAATAAGGAAGCCTTTGTCCACAGGGCATCTGTAAACCTTGGCAACCTTGAGCAGAGCATTATTTGCTGCTACAGAAGGCACAGGGACAAGAGAAGAGTCTAAGCCTTGCTCAAGGCAGGAGTCTAATACAACTCTGAGGATAAAGCTAGGACCCAAGAGGGAAAGACCTTCCATGTAACAGTAATAAGAAATAAACCTGACACACCAATAAGACAGCAAGAAAACTTATTGTCTTGACATTCACCTTGTACGAAGGGAGGAAACAACCTCCCCTGAGAATTTTTAAACACAGACTAGTCTCATGCAAGTTTGCAGCCTAAATTCGTGAAACCAGAAAACTCGAGAGGTGTATTTAAGATAACTGTTCTGAACCCGCAAATGACTGAAATAATAAAACAAATCCTCTTTGAGGGAAACAATTGCAACCCAATTCTCGAATAATTTCCAGAGGTAATAATCTAAGGAACATGAGTTCACAGAAACAAAAATACAAAAGCCACAAGAAGCCATTCACTATAACTGAGAGAGAGAATATGATGTGCAATGAATTCCAATGTTGGAATCATCAAACCCATAATACAAAGTAACTACGTTCATATACTTCAAACCATAAAATAGAAGTTTGAAAATTTAAACAATGAATAAGAAACAATAGAAAATACAAAAGCATATTTGAAATAGAATCAAAGGCATTTGTAGAAATGAAAATCATAATAATTAAAATTAAAAACTTGATAGTGGGTTAAACAGCAAATTGTTCAGTTAAGAAGAAAAGAGATAAATAAAAGATAGATCCATAAAGGCTCTCAAGAATGCATCTCAGAAAGAGTTGGAAAATGTGAAAGAGATTAAATAAATTATGCATGTATGAAGAATGTGTACAAAGTAAACTGAAACTCAATAGAATTTTAAAGAGTTTATTTGCACAAACAATTCATGACTTGGGCAGCTCCAAACCAGAAGCAGTTCAGGAGCTTCATGGAGGAAATACAAAAGGGAGGCTTTTATAGGACAGACACAGAAGTAAAGCAAAGAAAATATTTGATTGGTTAGTTATATGCTTGCCTTATTTAATCTATTCCATTGGAAAGTCCTCAGTTGTAGAATTACAAGTTTGTTGGTTGCTCCTGATTGGTTGAGCTTAAGTTCTGTTTTTCTTTAATATCAGCATTTATAGGAAATAACTCAACTTAAATTTCACTTATGTTTGCAAATTCATCAAGTTTAGGTCGCTTATGAGGTCTAACTGGTTTTGTCTACTCAGGGAATCTTCAGACATGGTCTCCATTTTAATTTATTTTAACAAGAGTTTTACAAGGTGAGAAAAACATTTAATTTGCAAGAAGAAAATTATTCTTAACTTATATGTGCCTAATAGTATAGCCTCAAACTATATAGAGCACATATTGACAAAATTAAATGAGACTTTAACATATATCTGTATCAACTGATGAATCAAATAGATTGAAAAATTTAGCAAAATACAGAAGATTTGAACACCACAATGAATAAGTTTGATCTAATGAATGTATATGTAACACTGCATTCAGTGATTGAAGGATATACGTTTTCTGCAAAAACTTGGAGAACATTGTAAATATTGACCATGCTCTAGGCCACAAAGCAAATGGAAATATGGTCTTTTTGCTTCCTTTTTCCCCACATTGTTTATTCTCAACTCCACAACTATAATGATCCTGTGAAAATCTTAGCTGGATGAGTCCTACCTCTCTTCATATTCCCTCAGTGGCTTCTGGTTTTGTCTCTCTTACCTCATCATGTCATCTCCTCCCCTCTCCCTTATTCAGTCTGCTCCAGATACACTGGCCTCTGTTGTTCCATTACCACATTAAACCTGATTCCACCTCTGAACTTTTCACTTGCTATTTCTTCTGTCAGGATCCTTTCTGAAAATATCTGAACACTCGCTCCCTCGTATCCTTTAGGTCTTTTACAAAAGTTTGTTTTGTTTTGTTTTGTTTTTTTTACTGAGGCCTTCGCCAAACACCTTCTTGATAACTCAATCTCTATCCCTCATCCATACTTTATTTTTCTCCAAATCATTTCACACCATATACAATATTACATATCTTATCATCTGTCTCCCCTCTCTAGAATGTAAACTCCCAATTCCTATAGTTTTCATTCTGCTATATTTACTGTTATAACACTAATGACTAGAATAGTTTCTGGTACTTTCTACATATGTGACAAATACTGGTTGAATAAATAAAAAATGAATGAATTTTGCAATTTAAAGCACTATTTGATATAACCTTTGAGTTAGAAAAAAACATAAATGAAAAAATCATAATGAAATTATAAGCTATTTCAAACTAA
Source organism: Homo sapiens (assembly GCF_000001405.40). Classification (NCBI taxonomy): domain Eukaryota; kingdom Metazoa; phylum Chordata; class Mammalia; order Primates; family Hominidae; genus Homo; species Homo sapiens. The sequence continues at coordinate 34,675,380 of NC_000023.11, read as the reverse complement.
ATAACAAAAATTATACACATCAAAATTGTAGGATATAGCTAAAGTTGTACTTAGAGAAATTTTTAAAGCCTTCAGTATGTATATTGGAAAACAATAAACATTTAAAAATAACTAACTAGGTATCCAACCTCAGAATAAAAACAACAGAGCAAACCTCACCCACATAATAGGGAATAAATAATAAAGATTATTTAAAAAATTGGAACAAAAGAGGCCAACAAAGCCTACCAAAAACCATTCTTTGAAAAGACTAATAAATCCTTAGTCATAATAATAAATCAAATAAAATAGAGAAGACAAAATAGACTATTAGAAGTGAAAGAGATGAAATAACCACAGATACTAAAGTGATTAAAAAGATGAGATACTATAAATAATTTTGTCAATAAATTTAAAATATTAGATGAAATGGGGAAAATTTCTAAAAAAATATAACCCACCTTAATTGGTTCAATTAAAAAAATTAAAAATCATTAAAATATAACATCAATAGTTTATTCTACCAAAAACACAGACACACACACACGCAGACACACACATACACACACACACACACACACTAGAATCAGATGGCTTTACAGGCAAGTAAAGAAAAAGAAGGAATACTTCAAATTATTCAATGATTCCATAAAAACCTTAATAGCAAAAATTTTTAAAGAATAGTGTATTAAAAATGTATAGGACTGGGCTTCCCTGAGAAATAGTTGATTCTAGGACTTGGGCTAGAAATGTACAAGATGAGCGTAGAGCATCTTGTAGTGCTAGAAAGTAAGGAAGTGTTTGAAAAAACAAAATGAAACAAAGTACAATGATTGTGATGTGTGAAGGGATCACAGGAACCAACATATGAGCAACAAAATAATGTAGCATTGGATTGTAACCCAAACTATAAAATAAATATCTATGAGTCCATAGCTACATAAATAAGTGATTAAATAAATATTTGGAAGAAAATAAATAAATCTCTTGTGCAGAAGATTTACAAATAACTTATGTAAATACTCATCCTTCAAGGAGGTAGATGATAACTCTCCACTCCTAAGTGTGAACCGTGTATAGTGACTTCCTCCCAAAGAGTGTGAGATGCAAAGTTATGAGAACATTTCATGAATATAGATGTTTACTCATAAGCAAACTAGTAGCAATATGAATATAGTCTTGTTTATTTTAAAAAATCATCATCAAATTGCTATCTAAGGAATTATTTAAATAGTAATAAAGTATTAGTGCAACTCACTACTTTAAGAGACTGTAAGAGGAAAAACCCAAGATGAACGTATCAATAAATTAATAAAACACATTTGATATAATTCAACATCCTTTCCTGATGTGAATTTTTTTTTAATTAGAAATGAAAGGGAATCATTAACCACTATTATTAACTATGGAAGGCAGATCAGCCATTGTCAGAAGGTTATTGACTGCAAGGGAAAATGAGGAAACTTATAGAGTTGATGAAAATATTTTATATCACGATGAGGGTGGAGGTCAAATGACTACACATTAGTAAAAACTCATTGAATTGTACTCTTAAAGTTAATTTTACTGTATGCATATTTTATTTCATTAAAGCTAATAAAAATCAAAAGATAACTAATAACTCGATAAAGGATACCTACAAACAAAAAATAACACAAGAAATACAAAAAAATGTTGTACTCTCTTATGTATCAACTCTTATTTCATCCCCTGCTTTAGCAACTGCTTCCATACTGTCTTTAATGAGCTTGCTCAGGAGTTACCTTAAAGAGCTCCCTCTCCTGAGGGTACACCCTGTACCTCTCCTTTCCAGAATCCATGCTGTCTATGGTTGCCTGCATGAACTCACCTGCATTCACATATATGAAACCTAAAAGTACAAGGTAGTTAGCTAGCAGCACATGAGTCTGTCTTCACCAGAAGGGTAGAAGAACCCGTGGATCAATCAGTCCTTCCTTCCTTCTTCCCCCAGGTGGACAATTCTGAGATGTTATTGCAAAAGCTTCTCAATAACTCAATGCTCATGAAAACATGGATCAACATAAAATTTATTTCATTCAGTACTGGTAGAAGTATAAATTGGAAAACAGTTCACTATTGTCCAATAAAAGTAAATAAGATTATACTTTATAACCCATAATTCCACTCCTGAGTACATAATGCTTGCACATACACCCTAAGCAATGCTTACAAGAATATTCTTAGCAGCATTGTTCTTAAAAGCAATAAATGGAACTAGCTCAAATGGCCTTCCACAAAAGAATGGACACATATTTACTCATTGTATGAATATACATTGGAATATTATACAACAGAAGAAATGAATGGATAGCAACTACCTGTATCATTGTGGAAGAAACTCAGAAAAGGGTCACAGAAAAATGCGTGCTGTAGAATTACATTCATATAGCACTAAATGAAGTAAAGCTAAATAGCACATTGTTCTTGTGGGAAAAATACAAAGTAAAAGCAAGAGAAAATTAATATAAAATTTTGTACTGTGGAACCTCTAAGCTGAATAGAGAGGGGAATATGAAGAAGAGCATACAGGGGTTTTAAGGTGCTGATAATAATTCTATTCTAAATGTGGGTTGGGCACATGAGTGTTCAGTTAATTGTTGTTGCTTATATTTATACACCCTTTGTTATAAGTATGTTGTACTTCTATTAAGAACTAATTGGGAAGAAACATGGTTTTAGAGTTGGTAATTTGCTCAGAGGCAGAAGCTGCCCAATGTGAACTTGCTTCTTTGGTGTGGAGGAACTCATTTACCATCTATATGGTGATTTGGTATAGCAACCTCTGAGGACCTATCTACACCAGGTTGCAATACCCATCCCAACCCCATCCCACGCCCACTGGTGTTTTCACAAAGTTAGAACACTGTGCATGAACCCAGTGGAAACTGAAAAAAAAATTTCTTCAGCTGAGAAATTACCCACCACTGTCCAAGCTATGTGAGAGCTAGTGACAGCTCCCTCCTGAACAAGTGTGAAGTCTTGTACATCTTGTAAAAATCCATGGCAGCTACTGCTTCTTCTCAGAGGATTTCTCAGTATTCTACCTCTCCACTTTTCATTGTGGACCCTCTAGATATCATCTCATTCCTTCAGTCCCATCTGGTTGCCATAGGCCTGGATTTTACTTCCTGGTCTGCACCTTAGGGTTGAAAATCTGTTGATGTGTTTTGCCGGGTTTCTCCCCAGGATGCAGTCCCTTACATGTCTTCAATTAGCTGCATTCATTGCACTGCTCATGAAGAAGTAATGCTCTGGCCCAATGCCAGAGCTCTCTCATACTTCTTTTCCTTCTTTTTCATGAGGGAGGAAGGGTTATAAGCACCTGCTTTAGCTTAGGTGTTTTAACTACATATTTACAGAATATTTATGAAGCTAAAAACAAATAAGCTGGGTGGAACTAAGTACAGACATTGGCTCACTGTGGTAGCCAAAGCAAGAAAGCCTATGTTTTAACTATAAAGAATATTTCTAGGGTATGTACCTATAAGTGGAATTATTGGATAAACCAAAAGCAAGAAAATAATGTTAAATGCAAGACATTATACAGGTTGAGTATCCCTTATCCAAAATGCTTGTGATAAAAAATGTTTCAGATTTCAGATTTTCGGGGGCTTTAGAAGAGTTGCATTATACTTTATTGATCATCTCAAATCCAAAAATACAAAATCTGAAATGTTCCAGTGAGCATTTTCTTTGAGCACCTTTTTGGGGATGTTCGAAAGTTTTGGATTTTGAAGCATTACAAATTTCAAATTTTCTAATTTGGGATGCTCAATCTATAATTCTTTTTTATAAAATCATTGTTTCTCTAAGTCTGTATCTTCTTCCATTTGCAAATAAAGTGATACTAAATAATCTTTTGTAAAGATAGCTAGATTTACATTCAATCTAATAATATGTCCTAAAATCAGGTTTAATGTGTACGACCTTCCTCAGTAGGTTGAGATGTAAACACGGTCACATCTCTTTTATTTTTCTAATGCATTGTTTAAAACCTCACATATCTTTATTAGCAGAACATCCAGTTTCTTCTTTTTAAGCCCTTTAGCTTGCAATCAGCAAAAAGATAATTTACTTGATCCAAATAAATCCGTTTTCCTCCCAAAAGTTATCCTTATAGAGGGCTAGAAAGTCCTGTTCTAATGCCATTGTGTTGTTGCCATAGGGATTCTAGTTTAACTCTGGTTCTCTAAAGTCTGATGGTTGCCTGACCCAGGCCTTTGGTGATTTGCACCCTTCATGGGACACAGGGGTACCCTGGCAAGGGCTCCAACTTTATCTTTGGGGTGTGTGTGTGTTTGTGTGTATGTGTGTGTGTTTAGTGTCACACTCAAACATTCTCAACCCTTGTTCTTCAACATAAAATAAGACTTTCTCAGAGTATGAGCATCAATTGACCAATCATGTGATACAGGCTCAAGAGACTTTCTTTGAATAAAGGTCCACAGATAGAAGTTCCCTAATATCTTTCGTGAATCAATTATTATTCTTTTTGTTCATTTGTTTGTTTGATTTTTAAGAAGAAAGAAAATTTAGATGATTTGGAGTTATTCTGGATTTGGGCTGCATCTAGATTTTTGTCCAATTATTTCCAAAGCTCTACCATTTCTTCTTCCACAGTTAATTTAACAATTACTAGAACATGTGCAATATCACAATGCGGTATCACAACAAACACAAACCCTTCCTGGTAAATATCTCCATATGTGAGTGGGCCAACAATAATGTGGTCTACTAGCCACGCGTCTTGCATGAGTATGTCTTGGCTTGCTTTACAGACAGAGTGCAGAATATTAAGTTAGTGAGTTGGATAAGTAGAAATAGATTCCTTACATGAGATCATGATACATCAAAATGATATATAAAGTATTATAGTACAAAAGAAATCTGAACTAGGAAACAATAGTGTACTGACATCTATTATCTCTCGCTTGAGACACATCCATTCATCTCTGGTTAATATACAGATAAAGCATCCTTAATCCAAACATCTTAAATTGAAAATGCAGGAAATCTGAGTCTTTTTGAGAAGCAACATGTGACCAGAAGTGGAAAATTCTACTCCTGATATCATGTGACAGGTGACAGTCAAAAAGTAGTCAAAACTTTGTTTCATGCACGAGATTATTTAAAAACACCGTACAAAATTACCTTCAGGCTATGGGTGGAAGAGATAGATACAAAACATAAATGAATTTCATGTTTAGACTTGGGTCTCATCCCCAAGATATCTCATTATGTATATGTGAATATTCCAAAATCTAAAAAACAACCCAAAATCCCAAACACTTCTGGTCCTAAGCACTTTGGATAAAGGATATTAAAACTGTAGTAGTCTTACAAATTTTTTCTTTGTATGTGTATTCAGATCATGCTTTACATAAAATTAACTTGGTGTGTGTTTTTTTGTAAATACTGCTTAGTCTAAAAGACTCAGTCTCAAGGTGGAAAGGCAATTAGCAATACCAAGGCGAAAAGGGGGAGTGATGGGAGTCAGTCCTGAGCTGGTCTACTATAGTTGTAGGAATAAAACAAAAGGCAATTAGCAGTGCTTGTCAATCCTTGTTCCCTCTGTATAACATAGCTTTTATGTTTTATCAATTTCAGTTTACATAAGATTAAAATTTCAGCTTTACTACTTAATTATGTGGCCTTAGGGAAGTAACTCAAACTTTGTGCAATTTGGTTCCCTAACCTGAAAAGAAGGGCTAGCATCTAGTGTACTTATGTTCGTTTAACACATATAAGCACATGTGCAGAACACCTAGAAAATGATGGCACATAGTAGGCATTCAGTAAGTTATAAAAAATGATATTAGTAAAATAACGTGCAGTAAAATCTTATTAGGAGCTATTTAGATCTCACATGATGTTATTAATACACACCTGTGATAAGATTTAAATCTCTGACAGTTCTTGACCAGCCATCTGAGTGATGTTCATACTGTCCCCTCTCTTTTTCAACCTCCTGGCCAAGTTTGGCAGCACATTGTAACTGGGTGTCATAATGGAACTCCCCTTTCCTCAAATTTAAGTGAGGTGCCAAATAGAACAGATACCAAGACACCAGAGTGTCTTGATAAAGGTGAAACAGACCCCCTTTCTCCAACTGCTGAATTTACAAGCAAAACAAAGTGGGACCAATTTCATATTTATTGAACCCCTCAGCCTGATCAAAGACATAAAAATATCCCTAGAAGGGAAGCAGCACCCCTTAAAGAAAGGCTCAGCTTTATATGTCTGACCTGGATCAGGCCTGAGCTACAAAGAAGATTTAATGCTAAGTCAAGTTTGAAGTTTTGATTAATGTATTGCAGCTAGCTATTCTAATAACTGAATTGAGATTGTATTTGCAAACTAAAGTGATCATGGGACTCTATTACCTGAGAGTGAACAGAACCCATGAGCTCTGTAAGAGATTTCAACTAGGAGTGAAGAAAAATTAGCCCATACTAAAAATGTTTAAAGTGACCTTGAGAGAGAATGAAAAATAAAGTTGCCTTTTGAATCAGGTTTTTTTTTTCAAACAGACTGATTACCTAAAAATTGTGGAATCATTTCCAACTCTTCACTCTTTAGCATTCACATATCTTGATTGTTTCCAAACAGGCTTTGCATTTTTTCCTATGCAATGCTTTTCCTAATGTCTCATTCTTATAGAATCGCTACCAAATCAATTATTCAGTGTTCAGTGAACTCTGCTCAATCTAGACTAACTTCTCTACTTCTGGCATCTCTGCATTTATATCATCATTAATGATCACCACCAAAAGTATCCTCTTTTATGCACATATTCTACTTTTATCTTACATTATCCTTATGCTTCCCAGAAGGGATAATGATAAGGCAAGAAATACCTTCCAAGACTAAATAGTGCAGTATTAATGCGTATGATGAGAAACTTGGGCATGGTCAGAAAAACATTTGGAAGTGTGAAGGCAAAACGGAGTGAGGACAAAGCCATTTAAATGCTTGGCTTCAACGGTAAAGAAGTTTGAGAGGAGAGATCAAGGACAGAGTGAACATTTTGCACTGCAGATTTAGCAATCCTATGTTGCAAATTTGGCAAGACATGCCTGATTTTTAATATTTTGTCTAGTTGTTCCTTCGGAACACCTTGTCTAGTTTGTCACACCTTGTGTCCCAAATTTGTGTTTGATAAACATACTGGTTGGCATGGATCTGACTTGGTAATGGCAAAAGAAGCACTATATTCAGTAAAATGGCAGTAGAAATATTATCCCCAAATATGCAGATAGTTTTCAGTTTGGTGAAATGTGACTATACTTCAGAGAAAGATGGTTCTACATCTTTCCTGGGGCAACACAAGAATATTCACAAGGATGGGATGTCACAAAATAATACAGTATGGTCTGTGTGTATGGTGTATGTGTGTGTGTATATATATATGTGTGTGTGTGTGTGTGCCTGTGAATGTGTGTGTGTTTTCACACAATTTGATTTACTGCTTTCTTATTCCAAAAAAATGTGGATCATGCGAGAGACTAAATAAAATAAGAGCAGAAAAAGAAATAAAAAGTAGTAAGATTTTTTAAATGGAAAAATTGTAAATTTGCATACGTACTTTAGGAATGCCTTTTGACTGTTTTTATCTCTTTCTGTCTCTGTTTCTCTCATTTTGGATTTGGAAAATGGTAGTAAACATTGAAAACTATCAGGAAAATACCATAAATGTAAACTGATATCATAAATGAATATAGAATTAAGCATGGAATAACTAAAACTATTTTGCAGCAAGTCTATAATTATAACCATATCCTTTAAAATAATCACCACTTTGGTTTTGCTGACTTTAAAGCAAAACTTTAATGTATTTATTTTCTTTTACATTATTTGATCCTCCATTCAGAAACTTGAACAAATAATGAAAAACAGATTTGTTTTTTTCTCTTAAGAGAAAGCCTGTTTCTAAGAAAGAAACATATTCTAGGGAAGGCATGAGCAATGCACATTAGTTCAGTCACTGAGAAACTAATGCTGTAAAAAATAAGAAGACTGAAGGCATGCATACACACACACACACACACACACACATTATGTGCTCCCCTTCCTGAGAACACTCAAAGTATTAAAATGCATGACCAAAGAAATGCCCAGAGGTTGAAATGAAAGTGACAGTGAATTGATAAAAAGATTCAAAACCTTATGAGAAAAATTGTAATTGGCATTGAATAGAATATATTGGAAAAATGTATTTCTCTGAATATATTTAAGAATCTGCTTTATCTGTCTAGCTTTATCAAAATTGGTGATATCTTGTCAAGAAATAATAAATGGTTATCAGATATCACAGCTTTACTTAGTTCACTGTAGGGCAGTGGTGTCAAAACACAGAATGATGGTGTCAATCATCCTGATTCAATGTCAGCCATGAAAAGTTGATCCCTACAAAGGTAACTAGCCTGTCCTTTAGTCTTAATTATCAACTCAAGTAATCAATGTTTTATTTCTCTTCTATTTTTTCTCCTAACCTATCAACCATTCATATATAATTGAACTTTTCTAATTCTATTTAAAGTAAATTTTACTTGGCTTCCACTTTAATTTTCTCGCCATCATTCTAAAAACCCTATATCCACTATCTCTGTACATCATGTCACCTGGATCCATTTTTCCAAATGCCATCTCTAATGTGCTTTGGCTTCCATAAGCGGCTTCTATTCACAGCACTGTTCATGGGCACACCATTTCTTGTTTGTCAATTAAGAAGACTATCCTAAAATCTGACAACTGGGTTGGCTAAAGATAAGGGATTGAAAAGGAGCTCAGAGAGCAAATGTCAACGTGGCCACAGTTTGAAACCACAATGCAGCTTCATCCTCTTACTTTAACTAGAGATATCATTTCCAAGTCTGTGACCCTTCCTATTTGATAGTTTTTATCAGTGGGGATTAGCAGCTTTTTTGTACTTTGTTTCATGATGTTTTTTCAGATGACTTGGATAAATGAACTTTTGCTTTTTACTTCTAAATTTCTAGTAGTTTATTTATGCATCGTGAAGCTGTATGAATGTCACAAACTGAATTCACAAGAAGCCATATGTCACTCTTTTTATTCCTCTGTCTTAAAAGTTGGTGTTTTAGGTGTACCTAGAGAGACATCCTCATTTATCTTTATCAGCCAATTAATACATTGTCAGAATCACGGGCTGCACTGAGAATCACAGCCCCCAGTAGTGGGAGCATAACAAAACAAGGTGGTTAAGAACAATTGAGTGAAGAATACACTTATGTCAGCTAAAACAAAGCTGATTCATCATTGTCAATGGGCCCAAAATCAGTGACAAATAGAGCCTACTGAGAAGTGGACATGAAAGAAACACCATTCACCTGGTCACCGCATAATGTGTTGAAAGGTAGGGTATAAAATAGTGACTTTTTATTCTCTTAACTTTGATACAGCTACTGGGGTAGACGTTGAGCCCTAACAGGCCTGAGAAGATGAGGTGGATCAGCACTTTTCAGTCTTTAACCTGTGCAAGAGTCACTAGGAATCCCGTTTAAACTACAGATTTTGATTAAGTAGGTCTGAATTTCTGGTGGGGCCAGAAATCTGCATTACCATCAAACCTCCAGGTGATGCCAGTAATGATGGCATATGCACTTCATGTAGCAAGAGTTTAGAGCACTAGGGATGGAAACTACTGAATGAGCACTGGGGAGAAAAAGGAGGAGAAGGCTGACAGAGAAGAGGGCGCAGATGTGGGTTCTGATGAACCAAGCAAGATATGGAAGTCTTTCCTCTTCACTGTGTAGCACCCCTTTCTTATGACTTCTGAAGCAGTCAGAAAAGTCTTGTATTAACTCAAAACTAAATAGTGCCGTTTGATTTTTTTTTTCCAGAAATTGGTAAAGGGGCTGGCATTTGCACCTAGGTTTTCAAGGGGAAGAATTCAGTGTAAGATGCAGAACCAAATGCAGAGACAAGAAGAAGTAAGAATTTTGGAAAGGACTTTGTACTCTGAAGGATCATGAAATTGGAGATTTGAGCAAAGTTTACCTAAATCTCTCAGGGACCAGGAGGCCCTCGTTGACATCTGGATTATAATAATGTAATAATCATGGTTCGTGCATACCATATGCCAGACATTACACCTTATGTAAATTACCACATTAATCCTCACAACAACCCAGTGATGCATCATATCATTTTATAAAGGAGGGAACTGAGGCTCATGGCGTGCTCAAAGCCATACAGTCAGTAGGTTCCAAAGCGAGTATTTTAACCTTGGTCTTGATGAATTTAAAGAGATTCCTATTCTTATTTACCAAAGATAAGAAAGCTTGAAAGGAGAGGGGGAAAAGTGTGAAACATGTAGACTAGAGAAAAGTTGAAAAGAAAATGATTCAGAAATGACATAAGCACAGATCTTCATATTGTTCTAATATTTTTCCACCTATGTTTGTTTGGACATGAATCAACTGACATTTTGAATTTTGACAGACTGTAGACATACCATGCAGTAATACTCACTTTACAGACTAATATTAAAAGGTGAAATCTAAAGGTGAGAGCTACACTGAAAAAAAATTTCTAAGAGAATCTTTATTCCACTATCCTCAATCCCCTGGTACTGCTGACATTTAAGACCAGCTTTTGGAAACTCAAGAGAAATAGCTTAGCTGCATTCTTCTAAGTTGGAATGTGAGTATAAACTGTTGTAGGTATTCTTTCTACTAAATGCTTTTTAATTTCAGTTTTTCCTTTAGTTGACATTGAGCCATCACTATACTTTAGATGTATGATTTGGGGTCACTTTTGGCCCCATTGTACATGTGAGTCCTTCAGACCACAAAGGGAGGAGGTACCCATACTTCCTATGAAGGAGAATTTTCTGACGCTACAGATACTGTGTCCATCAGGAGAACATTGGGGAAGGGCTCCCAGCTACAACAGTTTTGAGATTTTCTATATTACAAAAAATAAGCACATGGCAGCGAATATAACAGTGCTGGTCATCTTGTCAATCAACATCTATTGCTAACGTGGGAAACTGACAAAATAGGACTCAAATTCAGGAAGGGGGTGTCTAAGCTGGAAATTCTTAGACTTTTTCCATCTATCTGCAAGCATCTTCATTCAAAGGCACAAGGGCAAAACGTCTCTATGAAGACTGTCTATGAAAATTCACCAAGAAGTCCATAAAGATGGATTTGACTAAAATTTAAAGTCACAGATAAAGCTTAGCGAGCCAGCTCCAAGAAGAGCAGTGGGGGAGGGCAAATAACTTCCTGATGCCTTCCTTCTCTACTCTGACCTCTTGATCTGTGTCTCAGTCAACACCTAAGTCATGAGTCTACACTTAGCCCTCCAAGCTCCAGCAAGAATAAGCTAAGCCTGCTCATTCTACCAATGTTTCAGCTATTCAGGGTACCTATTTCTGAGGCTATGGTGTTCCATTTTCCATTGAGTTCCCAAGCACAGGACACTCCAAAACAGATATAGAAATGATGTATCATGATGATGATGTCCAAGGATAACCAAAATTCCACCATGATGAGAGTAAGTTGGTAGGCATGCACTTGCTTCAGTGTAACCAGAAGATTCAACTTGTAGTTGTAAAAACAAGGAGACAGAAAGATTAAAACTGCAGTAATGATGTGCTTGATATACATACACCTGGTCATTTCTTCACATAGCTTTAAATGAATACAAATACAATACAAATGTGGAGGAAGAGTTGTGCCTATATGTAATCATTGTTAAGGAAATGAATGCTTGACAAGGAAATGGAAAAGGCATTTAGAATTGGTCCCAGTGAGAATAGTCTAAGTTTCCCATATTCCTACCTCCTGGTCATCTGACGCACACTTCTTTCATTATAATGAACGTATTTATTTTAAAACTAATCATCCTTTCCCTCTCATGTCTTTTAGTGTTTCCAATTCCATGATTTGTTTTCTTTTTTTGTGGACAACTATATTTTTATGGTCATAGATCCTACTGTGAAACATCAATTAATCTGAAATCAAAACAGCGTCTAATGTGAATAGTAAGTTACTTGATATTATTGACCGAAATCTAACTAATTCAACTTTATAGTACATTTTTAAAATAGAAAAGACATTAGAAAATGATAAAATTTTGATTTTTAGATGCAGGATTATTAATTTTTATAAATGGTATTTTTTAAATAAAAGCAGAAACAGCAACTATCAATCACCGTCATTTATGATAATTTTAAGCCAAAAAATTTGCAACAATGCAACAAGAAATCCCAGAAATGAAACAGAATGCACCAGAATCTGGAGCCCTCTTGACCTCGTTAATTACCATAAATATCAGGTAGGCCTCATTATATTATGGTTTCACTCAAATCACAGTCTTTCTGGAGTGGACTTCAAGAATAAAAGTATAGTAAAGACAGTAAACCTCTAACGTGCTCTTTTCCATTTCTTATTCCTAAAGTATCTTGTTGACCTTATTACTTGTTCCACTGGACAAGCAATGGGTACAATGGTGTTAACCTTATTCATAGTTTTGCTTTCCTCGGTTTCAGTTACCTAAGGTCAACCACGATCTGAAAACATGTTAGCACAGTAAAATAAGATATTTTGAGAGGGAAAGAGATACTACATTCATATAACTTTTATTACAGTATATTGTTATGATTGTTCTATTTTATTATTAGTTGTTATCAATCTCTTATTGTGCCTAATTTATAAATAAAATTCTATCTAAGGTGTGTATGTATAGAAAAAACACTATATATATGATTAGGTACTATCTGTGGTCTCAGACATCCACTGGGGTTCTTGAAACATATCCCTGAAGATAATGGGAGGACTAGTGTATTTCTAATTTTTCAATGAATATTTAATTGTTTTTCTCTCAAGGAATCTGTTTGTCCCTCCATTCAATTTCTTCTCTCTGAGAGCAAAGAGGTCTAACCAGTGCATGTCTGGATGTGATCCCAGTGCTGAAATCCACAGTGTATGAACAACTTTCCAGGATCTGGAAGGAGAAGTGCAACTGAAAGAGCCCAACCAGGTGGCCCTGTACCCAATGGACAGAGCCTACTCTATATGGATGGAAGTCGGAAAAACTGGAGGATACCTTCCCACTGCCCATCTAAAAAATGGGCTTAAGATTGGCAGTGACCAGTGGCTGCTGTGACAGTGACACATTGGGAACTTGGACAATGTATGAGATTTGCTGGGCTTGAAAACAGTAAATAATTTTTTCCTTCCTAATTGGTTAAGTCCTTAGTGGTTTATCCCACGTGACTGAACTTAAGTAGTTGCACATTTCAACTGTTAAAAAAAACACAGAGTTAGTGTACTTGCTGATAGGCTATAAGCTAACAGCATGACAGTAAGTTCTCTTTATTTTCTTAAGACCAGTTCAACATCTGAAATGTGTTCCCCACATCTCTTCCACACCTTCTACCTCCAGCTATGACACTTTCCACTTCCCTGATGAACTTCCCAGTTTCTTCCATTTGACCTTGACCTCTCACATTACTGACCTGTTTCTGTGGCCTCAGTGGTTCAAGCTTGGAGATGATCTCATCCTTTATTTCAGGGTTCAGAGAGAGACAACTTCCTGCCTTTCCCTGGCTATACAACTCATATACCCAATTTTCATGGAGCTCCTGTACTATATGACTCTAGTTGTAGCCTTTGCCCCATAAGGTCCCAGGACAGGGGTGATCATGGTGATATGGTGCCTCAGCTAGCCTCGGGTAAAGGAGGTGGCTTCTGGCCTTTGTGTGATGTGACAGTGCAGGGCCAACAAAGCCATCCCTTTTAAGAGATCTTAAATCTCCTTGACTAGGGACTTGAATTTTCTTCACAGTTCAATCCATTTCTCAAATCTGGGTCTATTTTAACTTTTGTTTCTGCCACACACACACACACATACACACACACATACACACGCACACATATATATTCACATATATGATACATACATAAGATACATACATAAATCTTAACTGTCACTTCCCACCCCAACTACCACCCACTTCCAGTCAGATACCTTTTGGGGGGTAGGTTTTCATTCAATGTTTGCTAATTTTGGAATCTCCCATTCTACTTTTCCCATTTTTAGGGTAAATACAAGTCTATCATCTTTTTTTTTTTTTTTTTTTTGAGACAGAGCCTTGCTCTGTTGTCCGGGCCAGAGTGCAATGGTGCAGTCTTGGCTCACTGCCACCTCTGCCTCCCAAGTTCACGCGATTCTCCTGCCTCAGCCTCCCCAGTAGCTGCGATTACAGGCATGCACGACCACGCCCGGCTGATTTTTGTATTTTCAGTAGAGACAGGGTTTCGCCCTGTTGGCCAGGCTGGTCTCGAACTCCTGACCTCAGGTGATGCACCCGCCTCATCATCCCAAAGTGCTGGGATTACAGGCATGAGCCACTGCACCAGGCCAAGTCTACTGTCTTTTATATGAAACTTTTGGGGCCAGCTATGTTGGGCAATTCATGATTTTTCAGATATTCGAAGAATACTATGGTGCATACACTGTGGGATCTCTGCCTACATATTTCTTCACACTAAATGGATAAATTGAAACCATAGATAGCCTCACATCAGTTTGAAAGATGTTTTCCCACTGTTGGGGATCAGAAAGCTCTAATCTGAGAAATAGATGCCCCTATATTAGCTAATATGAACCCTGTGGTTAAGGAAACAAAATGACTTATGGGTCTAGGGTTCAGGGCCTAGCTGACATGGCAAATTTCCAGATTCCTACTGTTCTGAACTTCCAAACAATAGGAGCTATCAGATTCCTACTAATTCTAAGTTACAACCCAGACCACTGCAGCTCTGATTGGACATAGTACGGACCTTATAAACATTCTTTTCTCATAAGCAATTACAGACCTTAAGCCAGTTTCAGCCAGCTTACAGAGGCTGCATAGAAACTGTCTTTGTGTCATACAGTTCAACTTTTGATGTAAAGAGCCAAATTCCACCTCGTTTTAGTGCTAAGACCCTGCCCCAAAGTGAACATGGGATGTTACATATATGTTTACCCATTGTGC
Source organism: Homo sapiens (assembly GCF_000001405.40). Taxonomy (NCBI): domain Eukaryota; kingdom Metazoa; phylum Chordata; class Mammalia; order Primates; family Hominidae; genus Homo; species Homo sapiens. The sequence goes on along the minus strand of NC_000023.11, from coordinate 34,660,367 downwards.
ATGCTTTCTTCTCCTCTGATAAATATGTATTGCTTTTCTCCCAAACTTGCTGAATATATATGATTATATTTTGTAATATGGACCCCGTGAGGTATAAAACCCAACCTGTCCTTCCCCTATTCAAAGAGGGAGCACCTTCGGCTCCTGCCAGAGACCTTCTCTTCCCAGTTTGAAAACTAATATCGACAATAAAGCTCTTCTTTCTAGTATTTAGCCATCCTGGTGGTCTTTTGGATGATAAAACAAAACCCCCAAATATGGTGCTTTGACATACTGAACTCAAGAATCAGCCTCAAGGACTCTCTCTGACTTTTCCCTGCCTCTCTGTCTCTCTGACTCTCTTTGCTTCCTGAAGCACCAGGAGGAATTCCCTCTGGAATTTCCTTATATAACTAAGAAAACTCCTTTCCAAAAAAATGCAATTATCTTAAGACCCCTTCCCTTGAAATCTCATCAAATAACCAGGAAAGATCAACCACCCAGAAGAGACTGGGAGTTCTCACTATGTCAGGACTGACTTTTCATCTATTCCTTCCAGGGCAGTTCAGAAATTACCTGGGAGGCTCAATCTGCATAACAAGACAACCTTTGTTCACAGTGACATTCCGCCCCTCACCTTACTGCCACCTTCCCCAGAGCTCAGAAAAACTTTGTTTCAGGCCATGTTCTTTGGGCCCAGTTTCCCCTGGCAATCATTTACTCCTACACCCCTCATCTCTCTTTCAGTGAAGAAGGGTATATAAGCATCTGGACCTCATTGTGTTATTGGGTAATCACACTCCTGTGATTTTTTTCCCTGTGCACATAAAATAAGTTTTACATGCATTTTTTTTCTCCAATTAATCTGCCTTTTCTCAGTTCATTTCCAGTGAACCTTCAGCAGTTGGAGAGGAAGTGTCCCTGTGCCCCTGAGTTTGCTACAAATATATGAAAAGAAAAAAAATACTTTTGAGAGTTTGTTGTATTTTGAAATTGAGGATTAGGGATGGTTGATGGGCCTATGTTGTGCAAAATTCTATAAATTATTAATAGAGGAATAGAGTTTTTTAAGGAAAATTTGGCTTTTTGTTAAAAATTGTTTACTTTTCTAGTTTTGGAGACAGTATAGAGACAATTTTTTTAGATAGTATAAAGAAGGATGGAGTAACTCAAGCAAGCAGTTGAGAACAAGCCAGAAAAAAATTAAGCAAAAATGTGGGTGGAGGTGGGGGTTGGGGTAGGGGTAGAGGGGAAAGAAAGCCTGCATTGAAGAGAATAAAGAAAACTATTGGCTAATTGGAAAATAAACTTATTAAAGAGAAGATGATAGAAGTTGGAGGCAAAATAAAGATTTCTTTATATCTTTGAGAGCACACTCAAGACATTTTCTTATTACTTTTGAATACACATTATAAATCTAGATAAAAGAACAGTCACACAATCCTGGTCACCTCTTAATTGTCCCGGTTTGTAAATTTTTCAGTGTTCCCTAATTTTTTAAGGAGAATATGCACTTAGGCTTCTTTCTAGTTGAGAAGCCAAGAAGCCCTTTGGGATTTGGAGGTTAGTGAGCTCTGGATGCTCTAGGCATTCTTTGTTAAGGGTCCTGCAATAATTAGCACGGTAATGATTGAGAGGTGGGAGAAAAGTTCCCGAAATTGTAAATATAAGAAAAGCCCGGGCGTTTATTTTACATTAGGTTTGTTCTCATTTGACACTAACTCGATTGTTTCTTAGCCCAAAATGTTGCTGCAGTCAACATGTGTTCAACCTATGGAAAGATGTGGTTGGGGAAAAATAATTTTTATCAACCAAAAGTATGAAATCTTGCAACATTGAGGATTGTGTTTCATAGAAGAGAGAACATGTTTCTTGCATTCTTCAGCTCTTAACCACTGTTTTGGGAGTCTCACCAAGTTTTTGGGATGACTAAAGATCTAGAAACATCGCCCCTCCTCATTAATGTATTCAATAAATTATTTATTTTATAGAAAAGATGGAGATGAGTCAAAGAGCTACAAGAGACAGATAACCCACCAATCACATGCTGAACCAGGCAATTACAAAATTTCAATTTCAATTTCAAGAGGTGTTTAGTCCTCACATAAGGGAGAAAATATGGTGCATCTACTTAAGAACAGGACGATGTCCTATTGTGTTGAATCCTTAGCCCTTAGATGCTCAACAAATATTTGTAGACTGCTTAGTTTACCATTCAGGAAATATACACATCACTTTTCCTATTGCAGGTCCTGGGCTAGATCTTGCTAAGGACAAGGACATCCTAATACCCAGGAGGGGAATTAGATCCAGCTTGGCATAATGCAAAGCGGAATTAATAAAGGTTTTAGCCAACACCCAAAGGGCAGAGCAGTGGAGATGGAAATAAGACTTACTTCATATTTCGCAGGAGCTCTCATTTCCTTTTTAGCGCCTGCGTTTTCAGAGCAAATGCCCTTCATAGGGGGGCGCAAAAGCAGGTGAGCCCAGAGAACAGAAGCGGCAGCAGGCTAGCGGAGAAGTGAGAAAACAGGGAAAACCGGGGGACTCCTGGGCCCGTCTGGTTTTGAAAAGAGGGCAAAATGCATTTAGTCACTTTTCTCCTCCGTCCCGCAAATCTCTCAGGATGTGAAATTGTCCGGGGAGGGGCGTGTTACATCACTGAGAGACAGAGGACCTGTCCTTGCTCCAAGAGGCACAGCTTAGGAAACCTAGGAATCCACCTCTGGCGCCTTCTAGAAAACCGCCCACTCCTGCTCCCTAAGAAAAGGAAACCCACGTGACTGGGCGAAAGGGGAGAGCCCGGCGACCTGGAGCCAGCGAGGCTGGGGGCCCGGCGAGGGCCGGGCTGGGCGCGGGGCTGCTTCAAGGAACTGCCGCGCGCTGCGAATCGGGGGCGCGGGCTGGCACTGGGCTCCGCCCGCGGGCCAGAGGCGGGGTAGGGGCGGGACAGGCGCGAGCCTCCGGCACTGGGAACTGGAGCCGAAGCCACCAAGTGCTGGCCCTCCGCCCCTCCCCGTACGGCACCGCCTCCCGCAGCCCGGGGAGGGGCCGGGGCGGAGCGAGCCCGGCCGAGCCGGGAGGAGCGGGCGCGGGCGCTGGCAGAGCGCGGCGCGGGGCCGGCGGCGAAGGTCCGGGGTGGAATCGACGTCGCTGCGGCTGCCGACGACCCACACCCGGCCGGCCGCCTCCGCAGACCCACCTTGGCCGCGCGGCAGGGGGCGCGCAGAGCCCCGAGGGAGCGAGTCCCCGCGCGTGGCAGCTCGGCGGCTTCTCCCTTCGGGAGGTCCGGCTCCCGGCTCTCCGGACCCGCCTGGCGTCCTCGCCTGCGGCGGGGCGGACGACAGCGGCGCCCAGGAATGGCTTCGGCGGGCAGCGGCATGGAGGAGGTGCGCGTGTCGGTGCTGACCCCCTTGAAGCTGGTCGGGCTGGTGTGCATCTTCCTGGCGCTGTGTCTGGACCTGGGGGCGGTGCTGAGCCCGGCCTGGGTCACAGCTGACCACCAGTACTACCTGTCGTTGTGGGAGTCCTGCCGGAAACCCGCCAGCTTGGACATCTGGCACTGCGAGTCCACGCTCAGCAGCGGTGAGGGCCTGGCGCGCCGCGACCCCTGCCTCCCGCCCCGGACTGCCCCGCGCCCCACTGCCAGGACAGTCACCGCCTGTCCCCACGTCCCCGCATCCTCTGCCCTGGCCCGTCCCACCCCGTCCAGGCCCTTCTCGGATCCTGGGGCTCCCGCCACCTCCCTGGCATCCACCCCTCTTCCCTCCCCATCCCTGGTCGCCAAACCTAAAGCGACAGCCCACGCCCTCTCCCTTCCCCGTGGCCATTCCTCCTGTTCTGGAGTAACACGTACGCTATTTTGGGTATTTGTTATCATTTGAGGCGAGAGCCATGTGGCTGTGTAAAAAAATGCGACGCCTTCCACACCCCCGTTAAAAAAGAAGCAGGCAAAAACGCCCCAACTCCACCGAGATGCTGCGGGGGTTCGCTGTTCGGTCTTCCCCACTCTTTTTCCTTCCTCTCTCGAGGACGAATTTGCCTAGTGTTCACATTTCTGCCGGTTCCACTCCACCTTATCTGCGTTTTCACCAATGTATTTCGGTTTGGATTTTATTTCCTTACGTTTTTGATGGATATGAAGAGTTGAGAGAGGGACAGGCTTGTTTTCCTTTCCTTTTTTGGTGACGCCGCCGTTGATTGTGAGTTGCCTTTCTTTCTCTGCCACTCTAAGTAACTCTTCTCTCCTCCAGACCTTTCTTTTCTCCATGAGCTACTCACAGATGCCTAGAAAGTTGTGCTTTATTCCGCCAGCGCTGAAAGCTGCAAATGGATAAGATGGGGGTGGGGAGTGGAGAATAAGGTAGCTACTGAGGCTACCAGTCCCAGGGGGCTTTACTGCTTTCCGCCCTCCCTGACCCTCCAGTTGCCTTCCCCGGCGCCCCAGTTATGCCCTTAGCAAAAATCAGTCAACTTATGATTTCTCGCTACAAACCCCTTCCTTTCTAATTTTGATTCTTCAACTGCTGGTGTCAGCGAAGAGAAAGGGAAATAAAGAGAGAGGACCTGCCGGCGATTTTCTTTCTTTCTCTCTCTTTCTCTCTCTCTCTCTCACACACACATACACAGACTCACACACACACACATAGACACCTGAGAAACTCATTACATTCCTTCCAGTTTCATGTCTTCTCTGGGACTATTTATAAAGCTTTCCTGGAAACGTTTCAAGTTGTAACAAAGTTGAAATAGCACAAAAAGCCACAAAAATCTGATTTTCTTTTGTCTTTGGTTTCCTGTTATAACACAGGAAAATTTGACCAAGTTTCTTCTGTAAATTTAATTTTGTGTTTAAAAAAGGCTTTTTCTTTGATACTACCTCAAAATTCCCATTGAAGGGTTTCCTCTTTGTTGGTTAATTCACTGTGGAGGGAACTGGTTGGCAGCAGGAGGTCAACATTTAGGTCCTTCAATTCTTTCAGGGTTGGCAGTTTACAACTAAAGATAAAATAAATCGGCAGAATTTCTTTCTTCGGTAACCAGGGGATCCAAATAAACTTTGGCGAAAATATCTCCTTTCCCCTCTTCAATAATAAAATTTATGTAGGAATGACAGCTACTGCACGACTCCTTGGCAACGTGAATGTTTTGCCCCTTTCTCTCTGTCTCCTGAAATAATAGACCCCTGATTGCATAAAGACTTTTCAGATAGGTTAGAGAAACCAGTTTCAACTCACATTTGCTTTTCAAGCCAGTACCCTTTTTTCTTGGCCAGGAATGTAGGGAATGGGGAGAAGCCAGCTCGAGTTTGCAGAGCAACATACAGTGTTTGCTAACCTTTTCTTAATTGCCTCCATACCCATTTATCTCAGCTTTTTTCCTCTCTAGTCAAGGAAATATGGAGACGCAAGCCTAATGCAAATATAGCGGTAATAGCACTCTGCAAAGTAAAAATCAAAGGCAGGCCCAGTTTGGGATTTTTCCCTGTTTATTCTACCCCCTTGCTGAAAGTCATAGCCCAGCGTATATTTCTATTTGGATTTCTGAAAATCAGCTTTCATCTTATCTTGCCTTAAAAAAATAGTTTTCAGCCCAGATAAAGTAGAATTCATAAGCAAATGGGTAAAAAGTAGAGATGATTTTGTTAGAGGTTTTCTGGAACAAGTTCTTGACTTTGTGTATATATAATAGCAGTTCATTTTTTGCTCTCCACGGTGATGGTGGGACACAGGGCGGGGGTGGAGGAAAGGAAACAAGATATGGAAAATTGCTCTGTGTCCCCACTTTACAAAATGTACTTTCTTATGTTATGTGAATTTGAAGCTTCTGTCCGCCAGTGTTTTGAAAGGAAGGGGAATGCCCGAATCAAAACCAGCAGTGCTTTTCTTGTCTGTTCCAAAGGGCAAGCAGCTTTTTTCGTCTGTTTGCTGTGTGGAGTAGCAGAAAACAGGGAGGGAAATGTCTTCTCTGAAGATTTTGAGAGATCCACATCTTTGTCTTTCAAAATAAATTACCTTGGGAGGAACCACCAAGGACACTTTTACTGAAGGCCCTTCACCAGGATCTTTAAGGCTTAATTAAAAATGTTTGTCTTAATTAGAATTAAAACTGCTGTGAAGAGGCAGGCCTGTATTTACTGAAGGAGCATTTCAGGAATGTTTCTACTCACAATAGTATGCCCTACTTAGACCCAGTTTCTACTGAAACTTTCCCCTAAGCCATTATTTTTAAACTTGCATTTTAATTTTGGTACCAAATGTGCATCATTTGCTGTTTATAACCTGTTTTATGATTTTAAGCAAAAGTAGAACCATGCCTCTTGTGTTCTGGTGTATTGAAGGTTGCGTCAGCTCTTCTAGTACGAACCACTAATCCGGTTGTCAGTCAGCCGTAATGCTTTTCTCTGGTGTTCCAATTCAATGTATGGAGGACAGTTGAGGCACTCATCTTAAGTTCTAAGTGTTCCAGAAAGACATATGAGAAAGCGGCTAATTGACTGTGATTAATGGTGGAAAGAGAAAAAAAAAATAAAGTGTGCTTGTTAGGAAGTTTAGAATACGCAGTACTCACATGGCTGCCGGCCACAGAATTCTTTCTAAGGGTAGTTTTCCCCAGTACTGTTTTGGGGAACCTTTTAATAAACCTTAAATCTTACACAAATTATAGTAATATTTTAGACTTCTGCTTAGTCACATTTAGTTTGCTAACTTTATTTCTAGGATATAGTTGCTAGGATTTCACAGCAATTACAAGAATCCTTAGTGTAAATAGGATTGGCACAAGTGTATACAGAATGCTGATGCCCTAAATTTGATATCAAATGTGCTCTATAACCTCTAAGGAGACTTTACATTTCTTCTTTAAAATGTATAAATACATAGCTATTTCATGTAAAGCAGATTGCTTTTTGGTGTCTGTGTAATTTGTTGACTAAGGAGAAAGCAAGGACATACAGATGGCCAAATGAACACTTTTACTAACAGTAATTTAGGGATATAACAAATTCATTTTTCCTTTTTTTATCCCAAAATACTTGATCAAATAGTACCTTTTTTCAAGGGATATTGTTAACATCATTCACATACTATCCTAAAAATAGCTGCATTTGTAACGTGAGTCATTGGTAGTTTTGAAATGGCAGTATACCATATGCTAATAACAGGTGAATATTATCATTTCTAATTGACAAGAAATTCTTTTTAGAGTGCTTTATATGTAGATCTTTTTTTAACTTTAGTATAAAAAGCTACTTTAAAAGGAATTTATAAGAAAGCCTATCTTAGGTGTTAAAGATAAATGGAACTGCCTAACCACCTGCACGTCTTAGCAAATCTGAGATATAGTGATTCTGAGTTCAAACATGTTTCATCTGTTCATATTTTGCATTTATTCCTTAATTCGAAAACACAGTTTCATTAGGAAACCTCACAATGTGATTTGCTCCGGGGAAGGTTCAGCTTGTTGCTTGAAATGTGTTGATATTGATGCATTTTTACAAATAGCTCCGCAAGCCTGGAAGTCACTATTGTTATACCCACTTCTGGCTTCCTTGAAAAGAACATAAGAAGAATAAATGCAGTTTTGTTTAACCTAGACATCATAGACGGGTGGACAGTTAAGAGTACCAGAGAGCACCAAAACTTTCTCCACTGATAAGCCAGAGAAAACCAAGTATAACTTATTTCAAGATCTTCCTGATGACTTTCTCTTAATGTCTTTTAGATTTTCAGGTTCCTTAGATTTACTTTTACAAAGGACATTTTAATGTGTGAACAGATATAATTTCTCTTTTGCTCACATTCATAGAAGGATTATAATTCCCAGGGAGCCACTTAGATCAGTCTTGGCAGCTAAGGGATTTGATGGGTGTGGGAAAAGCCTGGCCTTTCGTAAAACATTTCAAAACAAAACAAAAACAAACAAAAGAATATCTCAAGCAATAGATTTTACTTGCTGTCGGGAATACATTTCAAGAAATTTCCTGCAAGTTTTTGTTTAATAGTAAGACCACTTGCAGAGACCATAGATATAGTCAGTGCTACTAGACATGCTAGTGAAAGGAATATAGATGCTTCAAAATGTGTCTCTGGAATACCTAACCTAAATACCACAGCAGGGAGCTCTCTGAACCACTTCTGGTTCTGAGGGCTACCCCAAAATAACTAACCGAATAAATAAATAAATACCACAACAAACTTCCATGTGAGCTATGCTAAATTGTAATGTAATTCTGTATCAGAGTAGAGTAGTATGTTGGAGAATAAATGAGACATTGGATTCTAACTGACCTGAACTTGGCCACTTACCAATCATGTGACCTCATACAACTTAATGTCCTCAAATGGTTTATCATAAAGATTAAATATATGAAAGTGCCTGTTTGTTAGTGTTATGTTTCTTCCTGGTTACGTATTCAGAAAATCCCAGTGATACTTTTTTCAATAATTGAAGATTTTTCCCCTTTAAGTAGTAAAATCTCTGCATTGCATAATGAATTGCATAATGAAGTACTTTGTCAATTTCAAATTTAAATTTTGATATGCATTACCTAACATTTAACAATGCTCTTGGTAGATCATGATCACAAAACTATTATCCTTTTATTCAGTCCTATTACAAGCCAGACACCTCAGTTATTCCCAATGTCACAATAAACTTGCAAGGTAGCTAAAGTTATCCCTATATATTATTGAGGAAACTTTGGATTTTTGTTAAGATTACCAAGGTCTCAATTAACTAGTGGTAAAGATGGATTCTTACCAAGAGTATTCCAGTTGCTAATGCTGGGAAACTAACCACAACAAAAGTTAGTCGTGTAAAATAACCATTTTATTATACTCATGAATTCTGTGGGTCAGGAATTCAGATAGGACATAATGAGGATGGATGTCTGGAGCCCTTGTGGAAGATAACTTGAATGGCTAGGAACCAGAACGTCTGGAACTGTAGGGTCATTTTCCAAATGATTTCGCTCACAGGTTTGGCACCTTGGTGGGGAAGGCTGTGAGATACTGGGCAAAGCTGTGACTCTCCCTGGAATGCCTACAGGTGGCCTTTCTAGCATTGTGGTCTTAGGATATTGGAATTCTTACAAATTGAGTGGGTCCCGCAGGACAAGAGTCATAAGAGCCAGAATCTCTCTGAACTAGGCTGAGAAATCACACATGTCTTCTACCACATTCAGTTGGTTACAAAGGAGCCATATGGCCAGCTTGGATTTAAGGGAAGGAGAATTGAATACCACCTTTTGATGGAGCAGTGGCAAGTTCACATTGTAGAAGAGAATGTGGGATAGGAGTTGCTGTTGGGCCGTGTTTGGAGCACACAGTCTGACACTGAGTCTAACTGCAAATCTGCATTCTTTATTGCCTTTGAAGAACAACAACAACAACAACAAACGGCCAACCAGTTTGTCTTTGCTTTGTAGCTTCTGTACTTAAGAACTTTGAATTGATTATATAAATAATGTCTGACTGGGACAAAACCTTCCCTCAGCCAGCATATGGCTTTAATGACTGGTTACTTGTACTTTGGATATGAGATGGAATGAACTCGAGAACCTAACTTTTCCACAAACAGAGAGATACATGTAAAACCTTCCAAAATCTTTGGTTTAGTCTCAAACAACCAAGGCTCAAACTGATTATGAATCTGGAATGTAATTTGCTACTTTATGTTGTATGATAAAATTTTATTCTTTTTTTAGAAAGTTATGAATGCATCTGATGATACGCTTGCTACATGAACACTAAAACATTAAAATTCCAGACAGGAGCCAAGTTTTATAGTGCTAGAGAAGTGTTGGAGTTAGAGTTATTTTTTGTTTGTTTCCTTTTCCTTTGTTTTAATAACATAGCTCTTCTCTTAACTACTGCCCATGTATTGAATCTCAGAGTTGTAACGTGTTTAATAAAATAGACAAGATTTTTAACATAATCCAGTCTAATCAAATTTATTACATGATTAAGGAAAATGAAGAAGGATACAATGTTAAACACTCAATAGAGAGGGTACATTTTGCCATAGTATTTTTGGAGGGTTGGTTTTTAAAATGTTCTGTAATATTGTAGATAACTGTCACTTGGTGTTTGAAGTATTGTTGAATGATGTCATGTATGGAAGCTTGGATGAAGAGGTGAAGGACTGCATGTGAAATAGCTGCCCACTTTTTGTAAGATTATTTATCATCCATGATTTGATTTCACATAGAATTAAAGTCTGAAAATAGAATTATATGTGTTGATAAGTACATTTCAGATGTTTATTACCATCAAATTTACATTTTAACCATGACTAGTGCTTAAAAATAAACACTTCTACTTTAAGTTTCTCCATGATGGGGTACGTTAAAATAATGGCTTGGGGGCCAGGCGTGGTGGCTCACGCCTGTAATCTCAGCACTTTAGGAGGCCGAGGTGGGTGAATCATGAGGTCAGGAGTTCGAGGACAGCCTGACCAACATGGTGAAACCCTGTCTCTACTAAAAATACAAAAAATTGGCTGGACGTGGTTGCGGGCTCCTGTAGTCCCAGCTACTCGGGAGGCTGAGGCAGGAGAATCGCTTGAACCCGGGAGGCAGAGGTTGCAGTGAGCCGAGATCGTGCCACTGCACTCCAGCCTGGGCAGCAGGGCAAGACTCCGTATCAAAATAAATTTGAAAAAGCTTAATTTTTTTTTTAACTTTTATTTTAGGTTCGGGGTACATGTGCATGTTTATTATATAGGTAAACTCATGTCACCGGGGTTTCTTCTACAGATTATTTCATCACACAGGTATTAAGCCTAGTACCCAATAGTTATTATTTTTCCTGATCCTCTCCCTCCTCCCACCCTCAACCCTCAAGTAGACCCCAGTGTCTGTTATTCCCTTCTTTGTGTTCACGAGTTCTCATGATTTAGCTCCCACTTATAAGTGAGAACATGCTGTATTTGGTTTTCTGTTCCTGCGTTAGTGTGCTAAGGATAATAGCCTCCAGCTCCTTCCATGTTCCCACAATATGCATGACCTCGGTTTTTTTTCTGGCTGCATAGTATTCCATGGTGTATATGCGCTACACTTTCTTCATCCCATCTGTCATCGATGGACATTTAAATTGATTCCAAGTCTGCTATTGTGAGTTGTGCTGCAAAGAACATTCTCCTGCATGTGTCTTTATGGTAGAACAATTTCTGTTCTTTTGGTATATACCTAGTAATGGGATTGCTGGGTTGAATGGTAGTTCTTTTTTTAGGTCTTTGAGAAATCACCATACTGTACTGCTTTCCACAATGGTTAAACTAATATACACTCCCAATAACTGTGTATAAGTGTTCCCTTTTCTCCAAAACCTTACCAGCATCTGTTATTTTTTGACTTTTTAATAGAAGCCATTCTGACTGGTGTGAGATGGTATCTCATTGTGGTTTTGATTTGAATTTCTCTAATGATCAGTGATATTGAGCTTTTTATGCATATGCTTGTTGGACACATGTATGTCTTCTTTTGAAAAGCGTCTGTTCATGTCATTTGCCCGTTCTTAATGGGGTTGTTTATTTTTCTCTTGTAAATTCATTTAAGTTCTTTATGGATGCTGGCTATTAGATCTTTGTCAGATGAATAGCTTGCAAATATTTTGTCTCATTCTGTAGGTTGTGTACTCTGTTGATAGTTTCATTTGCTGTGCAGAAGCTCTTAACTTTAATTTATCCAATTTTTCAATTATTGATTTTGTTGCAATTGCTTTTGGTGACTTTGTTATGAAATCTTTGCCCGTTCCTATGTCCAGGATGGTATTGCCTACCTTGTCTTATAGGGTTGACAACGTAGTTTATAGTTTATGGTTTTGGGTTTTACATTTAAATCTTTAACCCACCTTGAATTGATTTTGTATGTAGTGTAAGAAAGGGGTCAATCTTCTGTATATGCCTAACCAGTTATCCCAGCATCATTTGTTGAACAGGGAGTCTTTTCTCCATTGCTTGTTTTTCTCAATTTTGTCAAAGATCACATGGTTATAAGTGTGCAGCCTTATTTCTGGGCTCTCTATTCTGTTCCATTGGTCTATATGCCTGTTTTTGTACTACTAGTACCATGCTCTTTTAGTTACTGTAGCCCTGTTGTATAGTTTGAAGTCAGGTAATGTGATGCGACCAACTTTGTTCTTTTTGTTTAGGATTGCCTTTGCTATTCGGGCTCTTTTTTTGGTTCCATATGAATTTGAAAATAGGTTTTCTAGTTCTGTGAAGAATGCCAGATAGGAATAGCATTGAATCTGTAAATTCCTTTGGGCAGTATGGCCATGTTAATGCTATTGATTCTTCCTATCCATGAGCATGGAATGTTTTCCCATTTGTTTATGTCTTCTGTGCTTTCTTTGAGCAGTGTTTTATAATTATCCCTGTAGATCTTTCTCCTCCCTGGTTGGCTGCATTCCTAGATATTTTATTTTTTTTGTGTGGCAATTGCAAATGGGATTGCCTTCCTGATTTGGCTCTCAGCTTGGCTAACAATAGCTTAATTTTAAGTTGAAAAAGAATTTCCAAATTTTGTAGAAGTCAACCATGTATGTTTCTTAAATTGATTAAATGAATATTAATTTTCATTCAACAACTTAATTGCATTCTGGCTTTATTAAAAGTATGTATTAATTTATCCAAAAAGATTGAATGTTCTTTCAGCAGAATTTCAACCTCACACATTAAAGGCACTGACATTTCAATTTTACTAATCTTTTCAAACTATTGGTTCACCTCCCTTGAAAATTAGACAAGGACACCTTTCCTTAATGTTTTTACTCCTAAGTTTGTGTGTGATTTGGGTACACTTGTAGATCATCAATTTTCTATTCTAATCATGGACACTGAAGACTCTCACTTAAAAAATGTACAACGAAACATCCATGGTCTTCCAAAGAAGTGAGAAAAAATATCTATAACACCTTTGTCTCTATCAGCTTGTTGACTGTTATGAGGTTTAAAATGATATTTTAATGAGCCATGTTTCAAGAGATCACATATTTATACTTTCTGTTCAAAATTTCTGTTTATTAGGCAAAACCATGTTAAAAAAATAGAAGTCGAGACCCCTGAATTACTTATTCTCTGTACATAAAAAGGGACAGACACAAAAGAACTAAAATTTTCATCAAAGAAGATTTTATTGCCATCATGTTTAAGGTCCCTAAACCAAATATTCACCAGAATGCTGTCATGATGCTCTGTGAATGAAGCCTAGAATCTATTCTTAGCTCCTCTAGGTAACTTAAAGGGGGGTACATTCGAATGCTTCCCTCTATTTTCCCATCTTCTCACATATACTCAATGAGTTAACTTCATTGAAACGTAGTCATTGGTTTTCTAGCAGAGGGTAGACATTATTCTGATACAAAGTCAGCCAGTTAGTCTGTGTTCCAGGCATCGTGGAAGGTAGTGAGAATAAAATGATGGGTGAAACAAATGGTGTCTTTTAAACAAATTATTAATAATTAAATAAATGTGCAAAGTGCTGTGAAGGAGAAAACAAAGGTTCTACTTCTGCAGCGGGGCATTAAGAAGGAGCTGGTGGGAGTACTAGCTTTGCCAATTTTATTCCTCCATATTTACTAAAGGGGTATCTTAATACTATCGTGGGTGGCTGTCTGGCTTTCTTCATTCTACTCTTTGATTATTCTTAGCTCCCCTAAACCCATTACAGTAACTTTAGTTGCTTAGAGGAAGTTTCACCCACTCCTAATCCTGGAGTAGTAGGTTTTCTTTGTGCTTTTCAAAATAATCAAGTTTTCCAAGTTGTAACCTAATTAGGTTTTTATTCAAAGAGTGAAAAAAGAACAATGTTCAAAATACCAAAGTCATCACAACTTTGTAGAAATACCATGATTAGAAATTATTATTGAAAAATACCAGTACTTGTTAGGTAACACTAGTTACCATCAAATGCTTATGAAAACTTTCAAAGATGGTGCATGGTAAGAAACAGCAGTCATTAGGGGTGATAGTGTCTTTCTTTTTGTCCAAATACTGGAACTTGCCTTAACAGCAAGGCTCTTTGCTAAATACTGTATTCAAGTGGTTTTATTTGAGGAAAAAACACCATATGTTATTGTGTTTAGATTATTAATTACATTTCCACTGAATTATCTAAGACAGAATTCTGTGAAGCAGCTAAAATGTTCCATTATTTGTTGAAAATAAAAAGTATGTGTGTTTTTTTTTCTAACATCAACATAAAACAACTCCAAGATCTTGAATGAAATTGACATTGTTAAACACTAGTAACCCATCTGGCATTTTGGACAACCGGGATTTTCCAAAATTTGGCAAAATTAACACGCATTTTGGTCGTTAGGGTTATTGTATCATCTGTTTGGATGGTTACCTGGAGTCATTTATGTCTGTAGTTTAAAATCAGGTTAGCACTATACTTTGGAGGCAGTCTTTATCTGTGAACGGGCCTAAAGGGTAGTATTCGAAATCAAATTGTTGCCAACCTGATTACTACTATGGATATCTAACATAGTTGCTTTGGCAAACATCTATTTTGCTTTGTTTGTCACAACACACATAGTATTTATATTGTAATTTTATAAAATACAAATAATTACTTGCCTTAAATTGGATGGAAAGGCAGTATCCTCATATACAAAGAAATATTTCTTTGCAAGTGAAAAATTATAGTTTTGATACCAGTTTTAATAAAAGAAGTGGTCATTTTAATTATTGAAATTAGAATCAGAATTCATTTGGCTGCCTTTCTTTGTGTCTACATCACAGAGTGGTGGAAAATTAATGCAGTATTGACAAATTTAGGTCAGAATGCAACTTAGCCAATAAACCAAGATTTAAGCTGCCTCAGTAACGTTTCAGTTTTCCACCTCATTAGCACATGCAGACTAACTTTTAAAAGTTAAGTAGATCATTTGATACCTTTAGAAGTAGTTAGGCTAAGTTTATGGTTCTACACAAAATAGCATTCCATTCTTTGTGTATGAGGATACAGGCTTCCTATCCAAACTCAGAAATGCGTAGCATTAATATTAAGATAAATTCTTTAGTTACATTTCGTGAAAATAATTAAATGCCATAATTTCTGACAAAGTGAGCTAGTTGGGAAAAAGACATAGTCTTTGGTGAATAGATGGATAATTTAGGGAATGTGAGTTTGAAATATTCTTCTGTATCTGAGCTTTCTTTTTTCCTTTAGTACTAAACCATCCTACTATTTCCGGTTCCTGATGATAGAATGGGATTGGCAATACTAACTTAACTATGTTCTCAACAATGTAATTTAAATGTTTTGCTATAAATATGTCCTACAAATGAATACAAGTGTTTAGAAAAGCTGAATGTTTGCTGGGAATGAGTGAAAATAATCCAGTCTGTTTGGGTGAATTAGGAAGAATTTGTATATAACTTGTAATTCAAGATGATAGGTAAAAAAATCATTGTTCTAAGTTGTCTGGTGAATTATTTTATTGCAGTTATAGATATCATTTTAGTTAATATAATTTCCTTTTGGAGGGGTTCAAAAATGAAAATACAAGTGCCAGTCTGACAAATGTGAGTGTGATTTAAAAATCAGTGTTTTAATTTGTGATGAGAATGATAGAAAAGCGAGAATCATCCATAAAAACAACGGAATACATTGAGGGGAATACTACCCACCTAAACAGTAGGACTTCTGTTTATGAGGTTAAAAACTTGTTTTTCCATTGCTTTTTAATTATATCTAATTTTCTAAAGGAAATAGGCATTATGTGCTCAGGGATTTACATATAGTAGAAAGAATCTCAGCATATAACCAGTAGCTACAGAGGTAAATAAATTAGCCAGTGTTTGACAAGTGAAAGGTTTCTAAATGAGGTGAGTGGAGGCAGAAAGCTTTAGGAACTGGTTTTGTGCATTGCCCTTGGCTCAAAAATATCGAAAATGTATCCTTGTTAAAATTTTGTCTTTTCTGAAAATTGGAAGTGACTTTTGATCATGAATTCCCTAAGGGAATGATAATTCTCCAATTGGACAGTTATAATGTGGTCCATAGAATTTTCATAATGCAGTGGCGATTTCAGGCCAGTCTCATATGTTACAATGCTAAAATAAGTCAGCACAATTCTGCAGAATACTAAACTGTTTATAGACATTGGAAACTCTGATGCCAGCTAATAAAAATACCTTGAAAGAGGACTTGAAATCAGTTCCTGAGTTGCATGTTAATGTTAAACTTGATGGTGTAGTATAGGGACTGCCCGATTTTTATCTTGTAACTGCAAGGGGAATATAACATTATGTGTATGTATTTTCCTGGAGTTTTTTTTTCTTTTTACTTTTTTTTTCCTGTTATAGAAAACACTAGTAGAGAAGCATACACTTATCTTGAGCCTCCACTTCTTTCGGTGCAGTTTGAATGCCCCCAGTGTGTCACTGTGTCAATTTTGCCAAAATTCTTTTGAGAGAACCTGACACGTAACATGGCAGCCTGATTTCAGGTTTGGTTTTCAGATCCAAAACATGCCTCCCATCCCATTCGAGCCCTCACCAATTTATCAACCAAGGATGTATGTTATTTCCTCAAAACTGATTATCACCTGTTCTCTGTGGTCTCAGAAACCAAACTCAGGTTTCCAATCAGCTGGCGTGACATTGAACAATGGCCCATTTTAATTGTGCAGAGCACTGCAATTTGTAAAACAGTACCATGTTCATTGATGTTCTGCAGGTCTGGTTTGTGTTTACTGTTCCACTATAGTATTGGTATATTATTTATAGAAAGGTAGAAAACTAATGCAGAGTAATAAATCTTTACAGACTCTTAACTCATCTGACTAAATACTGTGAAGGCTATAATTGGACAACTAAAATTGATATAGAAATTAACTGATTGTGAAAACTTAAAATGCATGACTTTTTTGAAGAAATGGTGCTGGAAACAGAGAATTTTATGAAATTTTAATTTGTTTTGCAAACACTGAGTGTAGGTTAGCAGGTATTTGTGGCATGCAAATCTTTTGGTGGAAAAGTCAGGGTAGAACAAGTTTTCTGGTCTCTTATAATATTACTATAAAATTGTCCAAGTCTTATGTATATGTTCTTGCTAAATCTAGTATTGGACTTCGGATGGTAAGTAAATATCTGTCTAACTGTGTCAATGTAAAGCCCAGCCTATTATTTTAATAGCCATTAGTAGGTGTCTATAAAATATTTTTCACTTTTTTTTACTCCCCATATCTTAGTCTTGTTCAGTAAGAGAGAGGGAAATGGTAACTGGCTGATTTACATAGTCCTTGATTTTAGTTCACCTCTTAGGCTGGCACTATTATTTGGACAATGGATTCTAGTTGTTTACTGAAAGAGATATGATGCCACAGGCCCTGTTTGCAGCTCCAAAGTACCCACACTGAACCTTGAAATGCACCTCAGACCTCCTTGACTATGATAGCCATATCGAACCACTTTTTCAGCTTCCTGATCGAGGTTAAACTGATCAGCAATTTAAAGTTTTGGTGCTGGGCAACTGGCCTGAGTGAATCATTCCAAATGGATATAATGACAACAATTCTAAAACTTGGCACCATTCGCCAGGGATATAGTCTCAATAATCCAGTCTAAGCCCCAGGTTTTGGCCAGAACAGTGGCAGTCATGGCCCATTTCTAGTTTCTTTTGGAAAATAAAATAGCTTTTCTGTTTGAGCAGTCATATCTCTGGTTGTGGACCAAAGGAAAGGTAGAAATATCACAACAGTGGTAATGCTGATGATTCTCCTTGTTGACTTTACATCTAGGGTAACTTTGTCATTAGCCACAACCTCAGTGCTGAAAATAAACATAGGACATTTAGAAGAAAATCCAGAACTGATTATGTTTATCTACTTTTTAGAAGTATTTCCTGTGCTATAGGAGGTTCTTTTTCTAATTAGGTTCTAGTCCCTTTTACTTTTATTCTCCTGGTGCTTTCTACTATAGCATTTTACTGGTTTTTCAAATGAAATGAAGAATTGCTATATTGAGGAAATGTAGCAATATGCGATTAGGAATTTTTTGGAATTTTCTCTCGCTATATTGGTTAAGCATCACTTTGCACTCCTGTATTATTCATTTATTAAATTAACTTCATTGTGTGTTTTGTAGTTTAAAAGATCTTTGCCTAGAAAAAAGTTCAACATTTGAAATGCTAAATAAAGTATAATGGTTAGCAAACAGCAGCTCAGCCATGGAGTCCAAACCAACTCACCACCTGTTTTTGTAGATTAAGTTTTATTGGGGCTGGGTGCAGTGGCTCACGCCTGTAATCCCAGCACTTTGGGAGGCCGAGGCGGGTGGATCACTTGAAGTCAGGAGTTTGAGACCAGCCTGGCCAACATGGTGAAACCCAGTCTCTACTAAAAATACAAAAATTAACTGGGCGTGGTGGCACATGCCTGTAATCCCTGCTACTCGAGAGGCTGAGGCATGAGAATCACTTGAACCCGGGAGACGGAGGTTGCAGTGAGCCAAGATCGTGCCACTGCACTCCAGCCTGGATGACAGAGTGAGACTCTGTCTCAAAAAAATAAATAAATAAGTTTTATTGGGGCACAGCCAGCTTGTTTACACATTGTCTGTGGCTGCTTTCACACTATCATGCAGAGTTGAGTGGGTACAACAGAGACCATAAATCATAAATCCAAAAATATTTCTCGTCTGGCCCTTTATATGGAAAGTTTGCTTATCATTTTCTACCTTAGTCTGTCTTTACAAAATGCAAAACGTGTATTTTAGCTATTTTTTTGAGGATATTTAAAATAGAGAAAAGTGATCAAAATTCATTCCTGTTTGAATTATGGCTGAAAGTGAAGAGTCAAATGTGTGGCATTTTTTTTCACACTGAGCTATGTGAAAGAGCTAATCAGGAAAAAACAATCTATTGCACTTTCACTTTAAGATATTTTATATGGGTAGATATTTAGTTACATTTTGATTTAAATGAATCCAATGCTTTAAAGTTTTTACTTATGTAAAATAATTTAGGGAAAGTTGCTAACAGTAATAATCGTTCTATAAGAGTAATAGACCAACTAGAACATATGGAGCATAGGCTTTCTTAATCAAACTCTCCAGGAATTGCATAGATGGATGGATGGATGGATGGATGGATTTTATTTTTTTCATTGTACACTTTTATATAATTAAACTTTGATTTTTTTAATTCAGAAATTTCAATTTACACACCTGTTTTTAGAAGGATTTCCATCATGCCAAAGTGCAATATAATTGTGCACTTGTGTAAACTTTTCCCAAGAAATTTAGAGACTTCAAATGTAAGGACTATTTTTTTTTTTTTGGCTTTTTAATTCAAAGCTACATGCTGTTATGGAATAAAAAAGCCCAGTATGGCTAGCCTTTTAACTTCTAGTTAAAAGCCAGATCTACTTTTGTTTGAAGTTGTATGGCTTTGTTACAAATAGATGGCATTAAGAAGATGCTCTCCACTTTGTTGTGACTCATCTTTATATTTTAAGAAGTTTGGATTTGTTCAATTTCCCCTTGTTTGTTTGTTTCTTGATTGCAGTGCAAGTTCTAGTTGAGAGCCTGTGAAGCTTCCACAATTTCGTAGGAGGGGAAGATGTGGAAGAGGATGCTTGAGACAGGGATGTACAAATATAAATAAAAGAAAATCTTAGGGTATTGGCAATTCCTCTGCTCATCGTTTATCCTACCGTAACAAAGAGTGCATTTTGGAAGCTTTCTGGGGGGATAATTTCAGAGGGAAGCATCAAAATATCATGACTTCTGGACTTAGGATAGAATCCATTGCAATTTAATGATAGATTAAAATCCATTTGCATTTTCTGCACTTACATTAAACTGAGGGCCAGAAGAGGCGCTTGGGGCTTTTAAACAACTGCTGCTCTCCATAGTATCGTTTTATATGATGTTTCCCAACCTGTATAGTACTTTCATAGATTCACTTTGTCTCTTCTGAGAGAATATTTTACCATTCTTATGAATGGAAAATGGGCCAGTTTTTCATCATACTATTTCTACATTTTTGTTTTATAAGAAATGAATGCATTTCAATAAGGTTTATGTGTCACTAAGAGTGTGAGAAACTGTTTGGAAGTATCTGTGAACAGAGGCCTGCACATAGTAAGTGGTCAATATATGCTTACTGTTTCCGTGTATGAATGAAGGGGCCGAGCAGCCATTCAGAGTCCATTCTGGCTCCCTGGGAATACTTAATTTTAGAAACCACACCCGTGATGGTAAATACAGCAGTGAAACTAGAATCAAATAAAAAAGAAGTGGAAAAAACAAACAATATTCCTGATGCTAATTTGATGGGGAGTTGTTTTAGAGGGAGTGGAGGAGAGACAAATAAAAACTTTGGAGATTTTTATATGGTTAAGGAAGGCTTTCCAAGAAATAGCAATAAAAAAAAGAATATACTACTGTCACATGCAGCATGGATGAATATGAGAAACTTAAAAGCCAGACACAAAATAGTTCATACCATTTATATGAAGTTTAACAGAAGGCAGAACTCAATCTGTGGTGACGGATGTCCTCAGTAGCCCAGGTGGGAGGGTCATTATTGACTGGGAAGGGGCGCAAGAGAAAAATCTGGGTGATAGAAATGCCCTGTATTTTAATCTGGATGGTGTATAAATATCTATAAGAATTCATCAACTTCTCTACTTTCTATACTTAAGATTTGTGAACTTTATTGCTCGATAAAAATTTAAATCATAATAATATTGAAAATAGGTCATGGAGGGGACACTTGATTTAACATGAATGCCTAATAGAGTCCTTGGAAGAAAATCCTAGCAAACCCCTGGTCTAAAACTCTGCTGAGCTTAGCATAGGAGACTTTTCTGAATAAGGACATTTCCTATTCATTTTTGTTGCAAAACATTTCAAACCCCAAAGGATGCTTAGCATGCAGTAAAATCACATCTGTTGAGCCACTGCAAGGTGAAGGCTGCTGAACATAGTTCTGTTGATTCTTTGAGGACTTACTACTCAAAAACAATTTCTTTTTTCTTTCCAGATTGGCAGATTGCTACTCTGGCTTTACTCCTGGGCGGCGCTGCCATCATTCTCATTGCATTCCTGGTGGGTTTGATTTCTATCTGCGTGGGATCTCGAAGGCGTTTCTATAGACCTGTTGCGGTCATGCTTTTTGCAGCAGGTAAACAGATTCATTACTTTCAAATGAGTATTAAAGTTTCATGAACCTTTCTACCATCTTCCTTTCCTATGCAGAAGAGGTATGTGTTTGCTGCATTACGTAAAAATTGAGAGGCATTTACTATATTTTTAAGGTAACTTGGCTAAAGGTTTATCAGATTATCAGTTTTCAGTGTGTTAAGCATTTCACAGAGCACAATGGCAGCTTCTAAACCTCTGACTAAAGCATGAACAAATAATACTGCCTGACAGGGCTATTACCTTAGGAATTGCAGCAGGTGTATTTACTAACAGTCTTTTACATCCAGTTTTTTCCCCTTTTTTACTGCTCCCCTGGTGATCTTAAGGCAGCATTATTTTTTCTGATAAGGAACTGAAAACAAATTCCAAAATGTTTACCCTTAAAGATGTATATCTCTTTGAAAATGTGTGATGTATGACTCCAACCATTAGACAAGTCAATTATATGAAGTCAATTGTATGTTAATTAATTTATCAACCATCATTGTATGAAGCACAGCTTGGATTAAAATATCAACCAATGAAATGAAAAGACGGGACTGTTTAGAAAAGGGGCTTGCAGACTAAAAGCCCAATACATGATTTGATGTGAGCTTTAATTTTCATTTATAAAAATACCTTTGAATATATTGTTCTTTTTGACTCAAACTGCAATATTCTGTGGTGCCTTCAGTTTGCCCTGTCAGTCATATCTGATTTGAAGACTGCAAAGTAAGCTTCTGTGACTATCAATAATGAAGACACTGACAAAACCATCTAGGCTGTTAGATGGATTTTTAAAAGCTGTTTCAAGATTGGAATAGATGAAATTTCTCAGGATTTAAAGGGTAGTTGGAGCTAAAAATACAAAACAGAAGTGTTCTGCTGCCCCCTACTGTTTGTGTTCATTTTCTTATACCCATGAAGGCTGGTCAGAATTGGGGGTGTCATAAAAATGAAGGTCCAAAGGGCTGAAGGAATCCAGAAGTACATCTAATTCAAATCTTTAAGTGACTTGCTCAAGATCGCATAGTAGCTACTGGCAGACCTGGGCCTGGGAGGCTTCTGAATCTTAATCTAGTGGTTCATTAACCACTGACTTCCTCACTTATTTATGCAACTATTTCTTAGATGCCTATTACAGGCTAAACACAGTATTAGACACCTATAAAACTGGCCACAGTATCACCACAGATACTCACTAATAGAGTAGAAAGCACAATTTCAAAAAATATTTTGAAGTCTTAGTCCCAGTTATTCGGGATGCTGAGATGGGAGAATCACTTGAGTCTGGGAGCTTGACGCTGCAGTGAGCCGACAGCACACCATTACACTCCAGCCTTGGCAACAGAGTAAGACTCTATCTCAAGGAAAAAAAAATAATAAAAGTACCTTTTTCTGCCGAGACATGTGCAGTACATAAAATCAAAACAGACACATTACTACTACCGCTTGGAAACATCTCTATCCGAGACTTCACACTTACTTGATTTAGTACCGTGTGCTATGCCTGGTACTCATATACACTCAATAAATAGTTTTTGAATGAATGATATAAAAATGACTAAGGCATGTAGCTCATAATCTGGTGGGGTAAAACAGGCATGTAAACAAATAAGTAACTGTAATGAAGGGTTTTTTTTAAGCAATTTCTCTTTTGGGGTCTTAGGAAGCAGCTAGTTTCACATGACTACAAAGCTAAGACCAAAAGACCTCAAAAAAGTAATAAATATCAAAAGGATGTTTTTTCATATATTTATGTTTTTATTTATTTAATAAATATGTTGGGCACTTACACTATACAAGTAGACAGTCTTGGTGTTATAAAATATACTCTAAGGGTTTTTACTGAAAACTGATAATTAAGTCTCATAAAGATAGCCAAACAGATTATAAAGATTTTGTCTTCTTTTTTTTTTCTCTGAGGTCTTTTATTTAGGGCGGGCTTATTACCTTCTTGAATAGTTGCTAGAATAGCTAAGAGCTAGCCATTGCTGTAGCCCATCTAAAACACTGTCCTTTTTTCCACAACTCTCTTTCTCACCAGTCCTATAAATCTAGACTTCAGAATTAGATATTTTTATAATAATAATGCTGATAAGAATGATTAATTAAGCACCTGTCATGTGCCACGTGCTAGACACTTAACATACACTGTCTCTGATATAACAATCTCAAAGTTAGATATTTATTTTCTCCGTATTATCAATGAAGAAACAGGTTCAGAAAAATTAAGTAATTTCCCAAGGTCATTTTAACTAGTAAGTTGTACATCTAGGGTTTAAATTCAGGATACCTATCTGACTTGAAAGCCCGAATGAGGATTCCCCAGTTATCTTTACTTCAGTACATATCACATATTGGAAAAATCAGTGCAGAATCAGCCTTGATTTTGAATTCAGTTGCCAACTGTGCACTGCAGTTGGAGTCCGTCCTGTAACTCCAGTTACTCCGTTTCTCGGGAGCAACACCTGAAGGCATTTAGTACCTTGAGATGTCATAAAGACCACAAACTGATTGATGCAGCATGACTGCACCATAGCACATAATGAAAGTTGTGCACATTTCCAGTACAGTTGACTACAGCATATTTCTTTTTGTGTAACTGACAGTGATAGGTAATATATGATGTGATTCTGATAACTGGCATCCAGTTCTCACTAAAGACTTGGTGAAATTAGAGGGACTGCCTCTTGCCACGTTCTCTTCTTTTATTGTCTACTTTTGAACTATCCGCAGGTCATTTGTATGTCCCACAGGAATATAGGATGAGTGTTTTCTTTCTTTCCAAGGCCTTTAATACAAATTGCAGAAAATTCTCTTTTATAATTCGATTTTACATACAGAATCCCCATTTATTATGTTATTAAGGATGATTCTTTATGTTATATCTGCAGAAAGCCTCCTATAAGGATTGTTTTTATAGAAAGGTGATGTTTTTTCAGGGTCCTGCAGCTGATTTCCATCTCTGAGCTATCTCTGATTGGAGGCTTGTGTCTTACAGCCCTCATCACCATCCTATAAGTCACAGTGAGATAGCTGGAACCATTTCAAGTCTAGATTTTGGTAGAAAAATCAGTGTCCAGTTTAGATTTCAAACTAAAAGAGAGTTCTTCTATTCAGGATATTTAGATTACATGTTAATTTCCCTGTACCGTTATCAAACTACACTTCGGCTAGAACAATTTACAGTATCACTTCCCAATAATTAATTTCATACTGCTGCCACTAGTAGTTACAAATTAAATTTTAAAAAGAAAAGAAATGGATACCTTCATATTAACCTTCCACTGGCAAATGCTTTTTATTCTCCAAATCATTGTTTCTTTTATGTCAATTTTATATTTAGGGACCAACCTGGCTGGTAGGGCCTATCAACCTTTGCCTTTAAATTATCTCCTAATTTTGTACCTTTTTTTCGTACACCATCATTATTGCCTTAGTCGAGGCCACAACTTTTCCCTAAATGGAACGTCTCATTCCCCAAATTTGGTCTTCCCCTACTTTATTTTGTTTTTCTATGGCAATATCTGACTGTTTTAAGATGTTTATGTGACTCCTTTATTTTGCCTTGTTGAGTATCTAGTTTTTCAGTTCTTTCTTTTAGTCTTTCTTTAGATTCCCTGACTTTTCTTTCCCACTGATGACACCTTAGTCATCACTGCCTACAGGTCCCCACACACTGAATGACCTTCTAGGGGCCTGTCCTTCTCTAATCTCTTCCCCATGTAATCTGTCTTGGATACAACACATGAGGTCTCCTTGTGACATAAACATCTGGTCTTGTCACTTGTCCCTTTGATTTCTTCAGAAGCAAACCCTGAGACGAGAAATCAAGTGCATATACTTTATTTGTAAGGTAGAAGAAGGGATATGATAAAGAGTATGGAAAATGAGACGGGAATGGGAAAGCAGCCATTAAAAGGTTACATTATCAAGCCAGTTGTCACTCGAAGCAGCTGGAGCTTAATCTTCTTGGGGAAACTTTAAAAACCGGTGTAGAACACGCACCTCGAGAATAATCTCATTCAGAGGACTACGGAGCTGGAGTATTAATGCACCAAATTTGGAGCGTCATTGGTTGAGAAATGTCGGTTATAATCAAGGGAGAGCAGTGTTAATTTTCTGGACCTGGCCTGCCCCATAGGCAGCTGAAGAGGCTTTAGTGGCCAGAGGTAACTCAGGCAAAGAAATACAGGTGCTGGCAATTGGAAGTCAGGGTAGCATGTACTGAAGTGGGGAAGATAAAAATATATGGATAGGACACCAACCGCATATACAATTACAATAACCTCGCAGATGGTCTCCCTAGAGAAACAAAAGTTTATTACTTTATGAAACACTATGGTATTATAGTATGAACTAAACAGCCTTGTGCATGCGCCCTTCATTTTACCCATGCAAATTGCTTCTAGTCATACTCTCTTAATAGCTGTAAGCACTATAGAATATGCTTTGTCTTCCTAGACGTCTTTTCTTTCCTCTGCCTCTTCTGACCACCTTTCATCCATCCTTTAAGAACCAATTCAAATGATGTCCCTCTGAAGCCCTCCTTTCTTTCTCTAAGCTGAATCAGTACTTGGCACAATGTTTGAGCTCAGTAAATGTGTGTTGAACATATTATAAACAAACATGCATGCCTCTACTATTGCTGTTGAATGCATTGATTTATAATTACTTGTGTGCCTGTCTCCACCATCAGAGTATGAATCATCAAAGGGCGAGGGCCATGTCTTATCTATCTTATCCCCTTCATCTAGCACGTAGGCACCCAATATATGTTTATCAAAATAGTGAAATGTCCTTCTTAGAAGAAAATATTGAATATTTCAATATCAATGCTTTGAATATTTTAGTGTTGAAAACACTGAAAAATATCCCTTTAAAACTAGAATAAAACACAAGAATTAGTAGGTCTACATTCCCGTCATGCCTCTGATCCACACAATTTCATGGTTAGTAGTTTCATTGCCTGTTTTCAAAAAAGTGCAGGGGGCATAAAATGAACCCCAAATCTCTTAAGATTCTAAAATGTTCCAGAGCTGTACCTATGTTATCTTTGAGGAAGAGCATAGAGAATACCATATCCAATGCCTATTTTGTTTCATTGATTGGTAGTAAAATAGAAATATAGTATAATGGCATTTTCCTGACTTCTGAACTCTTTATGTTTTTTTTTTCTTCCCTCTACAGCATCTATGAAAGGCAAGGAGGCATTTTTACCTACATCTGTGAATTTTATTACATGGAGAAAATTATTTACAAATGCAGAATTATATTTTTCTCAGTTTTGCTATTACATTCATTTTTCTCTGTGATTCCAAAGGGAGTCGAATAATTCAGAGGCATGAAGTGTTTTACAGTAATTTTTATTGAGCTCCAACACAATAAAAGTCTAAGAAAGTTGTTCGGGAGAGTATGCCAGTAGGGCCTAATGGAGTTGTATTTCCATTTTTCCACTAGAGGGAAATTATATCATTATATTATACCATGGAGGCCAAATATTTGCTAAATAAAACACGTTGAAATGAATATTAAAAGCAGCGTAGGTAAACACCTCACTCCAGGGACTAGTCAGTTCACAAAAGAAGCAGTGTAATCATTTTAGAGTAATTCAGATTAGTTATTACTTCTCTGCTCAAACTCT
Organism: Homo sapiens; assembly: GCF_000001405.40. Taxonomy (NCBI): domain Eukaryota; kingdom Metazoa; phylum Chordata; class Mammalia; order Primates; family Hominidae; genus Homo; species Homo sapiens. Next base: position 34,633,600 of record NC_000023.11, on the reverse strand, counting down.
TCTACCAGCTGCCTGTCACACGTAGAATAAAATCTAGACCCCAGATATGGTTCACAGGCTGTCCATGAACCACGAAGGGCCCCTGCTGTTTCTTCCATCATATCTCATGCTTCTCCCTTCCTGCTCTCTGTACTGCAATCACAGCCTTCTGACTTCTGTTCCAGTGCACCAGATATGCTCCTGTGATGGGAGTTTTGCAGTGCCTATGCCTTTCACGTGGGAATGCTCAGTCCCCACTATGTTGTTCTGCACCCCCAATTCATTCAGATCTGTGCTCAATATCTCCTCCTCAGAGCAGCCTTCTCTCACGATTGATCTAAAAGAGCAGCCCTCATCCCTGTGTTCTGTCTGCTTTCTTGCATTTCTTGTCTCTTAGCAATATGTGACATTATATTCTATATTTGTTTACTAATGGACTGACTACCCATGAGAGTAGCAGCTTTGTCTCTTTTGATAGCATAATGCCTTAAACTGTATCGCTTTAGAAACATTCAGATATTTATTGAATGGATGCATTTATTGAATGAGTAAATGAATTACTATACCTAACCCACATTCTTGTTTCAGTCATATCCTGGTAGGATCAGTACAGATTTGACGAGTGAACAGAGTATAGAAACCTAAGGAGAAGTGCCTTTTTTTTTTCAAATGTACTTGGCAACTTTGGAATTTTCTTCTCTGTAGTTATGGTTGATAGTAATTGACTTCTTGTTAGTTTTAAGACATTTAAAACATGAAAGCTCCCTTTTCCTCACAAAGGCAAAGAGCCAACTGGGCTTTTTTTAAAATTAATGCACATTTTAGCACTTACTAACTGGAAATAGATGAAGTGTGGGTCATACAATATGCCGTCAGCTGAGTCCTAACAACAACCAAAACCTTTTCTGAGAAGGTCTGATTTCTATTTTGGATATCAGTAGGGTATCCTCTTATACAAACTTACTTGTGTATCCACTCTCAGTAGTAATGGTAGGCAAAGTGCTGACTCAGCAGTGTTGTGCTACACGGCAGAAATGTTGGGTGTTTTTATATCTAGTTCTAGGTCGGTCCTTTGACACCTAGCCAGAGCCTTATAGAAAGAAATTTTGAGGAATCATTTCCTCATGAATTTGCTGTATTTCATCAGTTTTATGGGAGAGAAAGATGACTGTTATGTAGACTTTCTAGGAATCTTCATCATACTGGTAATAATCTTTTACATGGGCTAAAAATAGATGAGAGTACATTTTAAAACATAAAATTCCATTTTAATTAAACACTCTATCCATCCTAGTGTTCTTTTTTAAAACATATAAGCGATATCAAAACTATTTATGTATATAGTTTTACTATGTCAGTTTGTTCCCTCCTTTTCTTTAATTATTCACATTTTTGTTCTTTTCAGATGAATTAAACAAAAATTATTTTACCCCCTAAAATTATTTCATATATCAGAGGTTAGCAAACTTTTTTTGTTAAGGGCAAGAAAGTAAATACTTTTGGCTTTGTGAGCTGTGTGGTTTCTTTTGCAGCTTCTCAACTCTGCCATTGTTGCATAGAAAATACGTAAATGAATGAGTGTGGCTGTGTTCCAGTAAAACTTTTTCAAAAACAAAAAGCAGACCAGATTTGGTAGTTTGCCAACCCCTGTTAAATATAACTGTACTCTGTATTTTTTAGGGAAAAAGATTGTCTATTTCTTGAGGGTGGAAGCTGTCCTATGGTAGAGAATGAAGCTGTAGTTAACTAATTGTAGTTAAACTAATTAAAATAAAATTACATAATAATTGATCTAATAGGAAGTTAAGAATTTTAAGTGGAAGACATTATGTCTTGTGCATATCCACAACATAAATTTCATTTTATTTTAGATAGTAGAAACAACACAAAACAAAACAAAAACAAAATAAACATTCCCTTCCTGATTATTTTGGTTTATTTTATTCGGTATGACTAATCATATTTCCCCTTTGGCCCTGACAGAAGTAGGATCTAACCAGGGACTAAGAGCTAAGTTTTGACCTCTGTTACAGTAGCCATAATTGGCCTAGGTTTTCCTGTACCATTATCTCTCTTGCCTTTATCGACTTAATTCTTTTTTGAAAGTAGGTGGAAAACAGATATGAAAATATCATCTGTTAATAACTTTTAAGCCACTTTTTAAAGACAAGAGGCATAGAGTGGATGAGAAGAAAATAATGAAAGTAGCTTTGGATCAGAGTAATGTAAGCAAAGACATCATGGTGAGACTTTCTGGCATATTGGGCTGAGTTAGTATTGCAAAGCAGCAACAACATCAAAAGCACATTATCACTCACAGGATGACCAGTTGCATCAGTAGAAATTAATTTGAATTTCCTAATTCCTTAATAGCATAAATAAATAACAAGAGTTTCAGTTGGCATTGGGGTCACTATTCTTTTTTTTTTTTTTTTTTTTTTTTTTTTTTTTGAGACAGAGTCTGGCTCTGTCGCCCAGGCTGGAGTGCAGTGGCATGATCTCAGCTCACTGCAACCTCCCCCTCCCTGGTTCAAGCGATTTTCCAGCCTTAGCCTCCTGAGTAGCTGGGATTACAGGTGCACACCACCACACTGGGCTAATTTTTGTATTTTTAGTAGATACGGGGTTTCACCATGTTGGTCAGACTGGTCTCGAACTCCTGACCTCATGATCCACCTGCCTGGGCCTCCCAAAGTGCTGGATTTACAGGCGTGAGCCACCGCACCTGGCTGGGGTCACTATTCTTGAGGAGCTACTTATACGGTTTATTAGTGGCACAATTTAGTTTAACTAGTACTACTTGCCATAATAATAATGATAATTATATTTTTAAGGTGAAAATCACTACTTTGTATGCTCATATAAATTATTATATTGCACTAATTATTTTATCTATACTAATAATGATTTACTAATTAATAGGATAATTCTTATATATTGGGAAAAGGTATTTAAACAAAAAAATTATTAGTATTTTAAAGTATACCATCTAGAACAAGCCATCTTTAAAATTTTTGGCTTTTATGTATATTTGATTACAAAGTTACTCTCATACATATATAGTTACATATTTATATTATTTTATTTGCTGCAAATAACATTTTCTAATTTTGATTTGCTTTTCTTTCAGTTGTTTTACAGGTTTGCAGCCTGGTCCTTTACCCAATCAAGTTCATTGAAACTGTGAGCTTGAAAATTTACCATGAGTTCAACTGGGGTTATGGCCTGGCCTGGGGTGCAACTATATTTTCGTTTGGGGGTGCCATCCTTTATTGCCTGAACCCTAAGAACTATGAAGACTACTACTAGAACCAATAGTCTCAAAGTAAAAACAACCACCACCATCCAACAAAAGGATTACGTCTGCATCTTTTCTAACTTACTATTTTCTAAAACACTTGTGGAGCATCAAGCAGTTTGCTCAGTTGATTTAATCTTTTTTGCCTTTTGGCTGTCAACATCATAACCAGCTTTTACATCCATTTTAGAAATCTGCACAAATTAAGAGAGCTGATTAGACATAGGCAAATGCTGCAAACTTCCAATATGTTCATATCGTTTTTCTTGACAAATGAAGGGTCTATATGACAGCAACCATTGTGAGAAACTAGTTGGAATGAGATTTGCCTCAATCTCCTATTGCCTGCAGGGGAGCAGTTGGCATAAGCAACATTTAGAAGTTCCTTTGCGCTGACAAGGATTCCACTGTTAGAGCCCTTACCGCCTGCTTATCCTACCCAATGACTACATTGGCTGTTGGTTATTTGCTTGAGTGAGCCCTTGAAAAATGAACTGCCCTTCAGCATCTAATGGGAGTTGTGAATGTAACTGGTTAATGATACACATTCCACCTTCAGGAACACTCTTTTTAATGGGAGGTTATGCTTTGGCAATCAGCGTCTCCCTGGGAAGAGAGTCAAGACTTGGAGACATGTGCTTCTCATTATGTGGTTAGAAATTGGTGCCTCAGCCCTATCTAGACTGGGGAAAAATTGAGGATCTCTGTTTTTCCTGGGGCAAACAGAAAGAAATCTGCATGAGTTGCTTTTGTACCCTTTAAATCATTTGCCAAACATTGCAGCAAACAAGTGTGCGTATGTAACAAGCTTCACTGTTTTTATAGAAGGTGAACCATTAGTATAAATGGTAATAAGTTGTTCCCTAACCCTCCACATACATTTGCCTATCACACGTAAAATTAATATTTACTCTAGTGAAGTGGTTTGAGCACTAACCTTGTACACATTGTTAAGAGGCTTAGATTGGTATTCATACTTATTTACCATACAAAAGTATGGTACCTTAAAGCTTTTGCTCTATGTTCTTTACTGTTTCACTGGAAAGTGTCAATAGAGTTGCCTAAGAATAAAAATTGAAATGGTGTTAATCTGAAAATTAATGATTCTCTGTAAGCACTGTAGTTGAAAAGAGAGTAGCAATTAGGATGATCATTTTGTGTAAAATTCATTAAAATAGAAGGCTGCTATTTTTTGCAAGTATTTTAAATGTCTTCATTTTTTTAAGAAAGGAATAGCGATAGATTTATATAAATATCTAAATGTCTCAGTAGAGGAGTAGAATTCATCTGGTTATCACCTGGTCCTCTGAAGTTAACTGATGGGCTAACCGATTTGTGCACACACTTAGGATGGATTTATGTTAAGGGAATTACTTACTGACTGTTCAATGGAAGGAAGTATTAATAATAGGGAATAAGTTTGCAACTAATCTCATGCTGCAAACTTGTGTTAATTCTGTTTAATATACAAATTTGGATAGCTTAATTATAAACATATTTTTATATCAAATATACAGTTCTAATATAAAAGTTATAAATAATTATTTTTGTTAACAAAGACACTAAAACAGTATGTTCTGGTTTTGGCCCTCTTGCAGAAAGAAGCATTAGAAAAATTACTTTAAAAGTAGCTATATGTTACTGTATTGCAAAATCTGTTAAGAGCAGGACCACATCGATAGTATTTAATAATTTGTTTTACCTCCCAAAACACAGTTCTTCTTTCAGCTTGTCTTAAGAATGGTTGCCAAAAACAACAGCCAAAAAAAAAAAACCTATTTTATTATCCAAATGCTAGAAAACACACATGAATTTTCTATAAAATCACGAATATGAAGTACCAGGTTTAGTCTTACTTTAGCAATGATAGACAAAAGCGAATAAATACATCACAGACAGAAACCTTTATAAAAATATATGATTCTATAAAGAATCATTAGAAATTATGAGTGGAAATTCTCCAGAAAGATAGTATTATAGAGTCTTTTGAAGCAATTTTTTGAGAAATAGTAAAATCTGGGGCAGAGTGTCTTGCAGTTAATTGCATATTGTCAGAGCAGCATGAGAAATATGATATTTGGATAGGGATTTCAGCAACTAAACATTCTCTGTTCTGAGATCTCTTTATTCCTGAATAATGAAAGAATAGTACTTTGGTGCTGACACCAATGAGGCACTTCTCTTGGTCCTAGTAGAGGATGCAGTGTACTGTTAAACCAATATCATCACATCTCGAGTCTTATCAAGTTTTCATTCTCTGTCAATATGACAAGCTCAAAGTGACAGAATATGTTATAGGTTGAAGCACACATATTTGCAGTTTACTGAAAAGTAGATTTCTTATGTGACTTTTTTCCCTTCTCAGCAAAGAGCCCTACACTAGATTTCTACCATCACTAATATTTGGAAGTATTTCATTACTAACAATCTCAGTACAACATGAAAATTGTTGCTTCTCATCTAAAATACAATTTTGTCTATCAGAATAAACACAAGTGAAATTTTCACCTACATTAACATTATGTCTTTGCAGCTTTAGGTTTGTTAGATGTGTTCTTAAGCATAATTTTTAGCCACAAACCCATTGTTAGATAGATATCTATGGATATAGATCTACATCTATAGATATAGATATACACACATATATATACTCACACACATATAGCATAAAATACTCAGCAGGGCTAGTTATTCCGATTTCTTGCACAATTATTTAGCTTTTTGTAAGTTCAACATGTAAATTTTAAAGACATAAATATAGAGAGACTTATGTGTTTGAATATAAATGATATATATGGATTAGCATGTACCTGTATATTATTAAACATGCAATGAACTGACTGGTAAGTGACGTCTAATTGTATGGCTAGCAATGTAATTTATTCAGACTGTATTTTTGTACAGAGCAGTGCACTCTAACCTATGCCTCTGTGTCCTCTTTAATGCCTAAAGCTGTGCCTAGAAATTTCATCTGTCTTAAAAGTAAAATATACTTCATGCTGTTTATGCTATTAGTTTCTGTACTGCTATTCTATATTTATTATTTTTAAATATATGACATGTTTACTACTTAAACATGAATTCATGGTATCCTGGTTATTTTTTTTAAGTCATCTGGGGGAAAACCTGTTTATCACTCCAGTGATTTTGAGTTTGCAGTTTCACAATCAGTTCTTCATTTCATGATTTTTGTAGTTGACATGAAGTCATCTATGTGGAAAAAAATAAAAATAAAAGTGATTTCACGGATGTGGTTTGAATTTGTGTCGTCTCTGTTGTGTAAACTCTTTAGACAACGCTTCTAAATTACATATATTCATTACATTTTCTCCTTCAAAATATATATTATTTAGAAAACATCTTAATATGACATGCTGATTTTACTTGAAAACATTTTTAAATTTTTTATTACAAATTATCTCCCAAGATCCTTCTATTCTCCACAGCCTTTGCACGGTCAGTGATAAAGGGATACTATTAAATATCTTTTATAACCTTCTGTTTTAAAATGTACTCAAAGGAGATGTAGTGCAGGCTTCCCTTATTCCGACTCTAATCACACAATTGGAAATGATTAGTCAAAGGGTTTGATATGGTATTTTGTTCTTTGTGTAGTTTTCAACGTTTGCAGAGTGTTAAAGCCAGCTTGTCTGTATTATCTCTTAGAAAGACTAAAAATTCAGTGTGTATGTGTGCATGAGTATGTGTGCATGAACGTGTGTGCATGAGCATGTGTGTGTGCAATGTGCATGTGTGAAGAAACTGATAAAGTCAAAATTCATCACCCTTTGATGTATATAAATGGTGAGAATATGTGAAAAAGCAATTTAAATTAGACATTCAATAAAATTCACTTGCATGTATGCCAATTTTTTTTTTTCCTGAAAAGGAGTCTCACTCTGTCACCCAGCCTGGAGTGCAGTGGCGCAATCTCAGCTCACTGCAACCTCTGCCTCCCGGGTTCAAGCGATCCTCCCACCTCAGCCTTCCAAGTAGCTGGGACCACAGGCACGTGCTACCATGCCCTGCTAATTTTTTGTATTTGTAGAGATGGGGTTTTGCCATGTTGCCCAGACTTGTCTCAAACTTTTCAGCTCTAGCTATCTGCTGCCTTGGCCTCCCAAAGTGCTGAGATTACAGGCGTGCACCACTGCACCTGGCCCAAAAATTTTTCTCGAAGATATAAATAGAACCATAGTTGAGCAAACTTTCTTGTGTTGATAAAATCAGTTTGAATATAAAACATATATTTGTCATCAAGACGTTTTTTCATGTCTCATAGGAACCATTACATTTTGCAAAGATCACAGTATATTTGTTTTGCTAAGAAGAAAATATTACAAATCCCCTGTAAGCCTATGATATATTTAATATCACACTTTCAAATGTAGCCATACTTAAGTTATAACTTCTAACCTTTTCAGTTTTTCTGTCATTTTAGAAATTTTCCTTTTCAGTGGCCTTATTCTAATTTGATGGAGTAGCAGCGTTCATTTGATGTATTTTCAGTATAAGTACTTTCATTTTTATACAGCATACTCTTGAGTAAATCACCTTTACAAACATGGCTTGCCTAGTAATTATCCATGACCCAGTCTCTCTGAATTTGGAAGACATGGAGACATAGTTTCACTAGAATTTGACAAGAAAAAATCCTTTGCCTTCAGAGCTTTCATTGTGAACATAAAACAGAAAAGCAATTTCAATTTACTTTTCCATAATGGCCATATGGGCTGTTGCAGTTTGAATTATGAAAACAGGCACATGCTATGTCAACACTGTTCCATTTTGATGGTTTTTAAGTCATTTTGGTTACAAAGTAAATTGACAGTGAAATTATTTTGTATTCTGTAGACTAAACTACTGAATACCTAAATTATCAAATTTTCATGCTATTATTTTCTGTTCATAGCTTTTCAGAAGTGTGATGTTAACTAAAATTAAAAGAACACAAATTAGGCCTGGCGTGGTGGCTCACGCCTGAAATCCCAGCACTTTGGGAGGCCAAGGCAGGTGCATCACAAGGTGAGGAGTTCGAGACCAGCCTGACCAACATGGTGAAACCCCATCTCTACTAAAAATAAAAAAAATTAGCCGGGCGTGGTTGCCCGCGCCTGTATTCCCAGCTACTCAGGAGGCCGAGGCAGGAGAATCGCTTGAACCCGAGAGGTGGAAGTTGCAGTGTCCCAAGATCACACCGCTGCACTCCAGCCTGGGTGACAGAGCGAGACTCCATCTCAGAAAAAAAACAAAAAACAAACAAAAAAAAAACCCACCAGAAATTAGAATTAAGTGCTTAAGAGTATTTTCACAGGAAGCACTAATTTATTTGACTTTTTAACTTCTATGTCAAGTATTGGGTCATGGTACCATGGCACCTTAATCCCAATAAGTTAAAATCAGACTAGATAACAAAACTCCATGTAATAAAATGCCAACAGTTTTTCCTATACAAGGTAGGCTTGGGGACTGTAAGAAGTCCTCACATTTCTAACAGCTACTGAATGATGTCCTGGGCAGAGTGTCCATATACATATATATATAATATATGTACACATACGTGGAAAATCTTTTTCCAAAAAGTCATCAGCTAGGTGACTCACATTTGTATTCTACAAGTAACTCTCATGGTTCCAAAGTATAACTAAAAGAACAGGAGCTGAACTGTTCAGTTGGGAAGGAAAATATGTGGTGTTTCTAAGCCAAGATTAACAGCACACAAAGAATGGTGTTCTTTGTAAAACTAAAGCTGTGTTGAGTGGTTCACCAGAGAAACTCAGTTTTGGCAAGCAATTATTTCCAAGTTGAATGACTTCATAGAAATAATGGTTATAAAAGAAGCTTGGAACAAGTACTGGAAAATCATGCCATCGAAGCACCAGAAACCTTGAATACTTCAATCTTTGCATGTGACAAGGATTAATGAAGAAAATTGTATCTAAAAAATAATTCGATATATGCTACATCTGCATGTATGAAGCTACGTCTATGATGATGTGAAGGCACTCTTATACTAGATGAGAGCGGTCAGTCATGGAATTAAGCCTAAAATACGACATATATGAAATGATGGTACCATAGGCTACCCCTCAGTTTGCTTTGAATTTGTCATCATAAAGGTAAAATAAATGAAAATCATCCCTACATTCTATTTAATTTTTAAAGTAAAATATAGTTAACGAAGACATCGAAGGAATTGTTTTAAACCTGAGCGGGGAACATTTCTCTTAAGGTTCTTATGAATGGAGAGTTATATCGTTAAGGGTTAAATGGAGAAGAAAGACTACTTTGCTAGTCTTTGATACTGTATGTTAACAAAAAGGCAGATAATACTATCATGCTTGATAACCTCTCCCAGGCAAACTTCTGCTGTATCAAAGCATGTTTGGAGAGTAGGTCCCTCTTTGTCCATATCAGTGCTCCGTGGTGATGTGACAACTTAATGACATCAAACACAAGTTTTCCTATTTTTAACTTTTAGGTGATTTCTCTTCTTAAACACTATCTAGCTATTACAGTTGTATTAATTCTTTGAGGCACATGGTTTGTGTGAAGGCAGCAAAATAAGTTGTGATAAAACATTTAACACTTATAATCATGAAAAGTATGTTTCTCGTTTGACCACAAGGTACAAATGCTGTTTCCCATTTGAACCCACTGGCATAAATTTGACAATATAGGAATCCTTATAGGGACATAATGTTTCATTAAAAATTTCCAGTTATATTCTTTGAAGACATTAGCATTTTTCACTGCTTCATAATGGAGAGGAATTTTGCAAAATGCATTGCTCAGTATATTTCTCAAACCTCAGTATTTAGCACTTATCTTTCCAGCCAACTTGTGAGACATGGAATATTTTGAGTTACTTTCCCCCATTGTTCAGGCTTGAGTAAAAATAAGTTTTCCCTGTCTGTCTCAGACAGTCAATAAACATTAGTACATATTTAGCCAGGCATTTGAGCTTTGAGGATGTTACAAGTATGAGCCAAAATACAGCAAACTACTGCTACCAATGATTGCATGACACCTTTGAATCAGAAATGCTCTAAAAGATGAGACAACAATTAAGCCCTCTTATGCTCATTCAAACCAAAAGTGCTGCTTGGCTTCAGTTAGGCTTGTTTGACTACTGTGCTGTTTGGATGGAGAAATCACTTGTAATATGCTATTTTCCTGAAGTTGGGCTGGTTTTTATTCATAAGTATAAATATGTATAAATTGCATACATTTATATACTTTGAATGGTTTGTATAGTATCTATTTTGAAATGAGAGCACTTTTAAAATTGTTTGTAACTTATGGAAATATAAAGAGTAAGAACTGGGGGAAGTTATTTAATAGGAAAAGGAAGTCAAAGATTTGGATCTTCCAAGTGCTGCCATTTAGTCATGATTGCATGCTATAAGAGTGCGCAGGTATGAGAAAAAGTAGAAATCTGGCCGAGGCGGGTGGATTACCTGAGGTCAGGAATTCAAGACCAGCCTGGCCCACATGGTGAAACCCTGTGGTAAAACCCTGTCTCTACTAAAAATATAAAACATTAGCCGGACGTGGTGGCGGGTGCCTGTAATCCCAGCTACTCAGGAGGCTGAGGAATCACTTGAACCCAGGAGGCAGAGGTTGTAGTGAGCCGAGATTGTGCCATTGCACTCCAGCCTGGGCAACAAGAGCAAAACTCTGTCTCAAAAAAAAAAAAAAAAAAAAAAAAAAGAGTAGAAATCTGACTGGTTGATGGAATTGATTAACTTTGGAGTTTATGCTCCACCCGTAATTATTTCTTAGAGACAAACAGAAGATTTGGCAGGCAGTCACATTTGTACCACATGACCCTACACCCCTGGTCAAAGATGATTACACAGAGATAGTTCCTGCCTTTAGCTAGCCACTCTGTTTCTCTTGCCTATTAATTTGGAATTGGTCTCTGCATGTAGCTAGTAATAAAATGCGTAAACTACAGGGCTTTGGGGTGTGCAGAGATGCAAAGAAAACTAACTGGGAAGAATAAAGAAATGAAATAGATATGCACAGAGAAGTAGTCAAGAGAACAAGAGTGGGTGGTCTCAGTTCCTAGTAAGGTCAAGTTGCCTTATATTCCATAAAATACTCCTGTGTTCTTCCAATAATTTCCTGTTTTGATTAAACCAGGTTTAGTTGGATGCAAGAGAATCTTGACGAAGACCCTTGTTTTAAATGGTTCAATATTCATGTTGTGCTAACTCTCCAAAAAGGAATTGAAAAGTACACAAAGATTTGTTTACAAACTTCCCATCCCACCCGGGAGTGCCAAGCACTCTCTACTGTCCCATCAAAAGTTGGTTCCAATTGTCTTACAGTAAAATATAACTAAGTAAAAAACATTTTAGGATTAATTCTACATTTTTGTGTTTGTTTTTCTCCGGATCAAAGTCATGTGCTAAGGGGAGAAAATCAATCATTCTCAGATGACATGAAAACTGTCCTGGAATCTCTGAAATCACTCATGGTAGTTTCTTCTCCATCTTATCTTTAGGATACATCGGCATTCTGCATTGGCCTATAAGAGAGCATCATTCATGTGTGTTCTTCAGTAATGCTAGTTTAGTTGACTGTTTCTTTGTGCTTATGGCTGCTCTTGAGGATGTTACAATAATATCTCACACAAATAACTACCAAATGGGGTTTCTACCGCCTTCACTCTAGTGCCACTTTGGGCTCAGGTGAATCAAGCCCAGGTAGAACCAAACTTGTGGAAGCAGACATGTTAATTGACTACGGACAACGATTCTACTCATCCAAATCTCTGGTGAATTGACCTACATGACTGCTTAAGCAAGTCAGCCTAACAGTTACAACTATTGTTAGATCATCCCTTGGCTAACATAGTGACTGTGCATATGAAAAAATGATTATACACAAGTACGGACAACTGAACCCAAGGTCAGGACCTAGTCTCTACATTTGTGTTCCCAAGTCAGCCTGGGGTTAAATAAAAGAAGAGAAGTAAAATCCCCCTCTCTTGCTATCAGGTTTCCTAAAGGCAAATCTGCTTATTCTCTTTTTTGTGTGTGAAAAGATTATGACTTGTATGTATTCCAATCTCAAGTGCACATATGACATAGATAAAGACCTTCAAATAAAGGACAGCTTCCTATGACATAGATAAACACCTACAAAAAAAGGAAAGTTTTTTTTTTTTTGCAAAGAAACAATAAAAGAAATTAGGTGTTTAAATTATGTGGTAGAATGACTTTGATAGCTGTAATCACAGTGTATTACAGGCAATCAAATTATCTGTCATTTCCACAGCTTTTTTCCGCGGCCAAAGAAAAGCATCCACTTTGAGAAGATTTTTTATTTTTTTTCCTCCACTTCGAGAAGTTTTAATTCTGAAAAACAAAGTTCTATTGATTGATGGACAATCAAGCTTTGATGGATATTTTTCTGATTCTGTATGACAGAAGATAGCCTTAGGCCCTTAAGACAAATTGATTCATCATCAAAAGTATCCACTGGTATAATACACCATCCCTAATTTGTTGTAAACAGTATCTTCAAGTTTGGTAGCAAAGCCACATACACTCAGAACACAAGACAAAGGGATGATTTTGACAACTTTTGCCATGGAAAGAAGAGCCCTATAAGACTTGATTGACAGAAAAAGACTTGAGCAATATGGGGGGGACTTCTGACAGGCCATTTTAGTTCTGTCAGTATTTGATATTACTATGTAGTCTACATTATAATTTTCTCATTTGTTTACATTTCTCAAGCCTTCAAAAGACTCTTGGACATATATAATGAAAACTCTAACCCTTTAGCCCATTCCCTTTTCCTATGGCCTGCGTAGCAAAAGCTATTTGTCTTTGAAATACTAGGAAACTGTCACATTTCCTGGGTCAAAAGAAAATACATGCCTTGTTATTTTCCATTCTGCTTTGGATCTTACAATGTGGGGTAAAATAATTTTGCATTCCTGACTCCTTCATCAGGAAAATCACATAAGAATCCACATAACAAACATAGCATGAGGCATTTAAGAGTGCTGTATTTTACACACTATATTTAAGTGTAGCAGGAATAAGAATAGAGTCTTAAAAATATATCCGGTCAAGACTTGCTTCCTCCTTTCTCCACAATCTTTAAATGCAAATACATGCATACTGACAGCTCTCAGAAAAATAGGCCTAATGAGAACTCTCCCTTTCCCAAGGGATGCCCTCTGCCACCATCTATTTATGGAATAATAGCTGGCTCCCTACTTCATTCTTACATAGTACTTTTAAAAGAGCAATTTCCATTTTTGAAGTATTGCTGACAGGAAATAAGTAATCTTTTATCACAGTCAGGAAAGGTCAGCAAGTCAGTAATCCTCCATTCGCTTACTGAAAGAAATATCCACTTTTCTTCCACAGCAGACCAGAAAAGTGATTTATCTGAGATTGGCATTAATACATAAAATGGCCAATGCACCTAGCTATGCCAGAGCAATCTCTTACATGGTCCAGAGGCTTCTTTTATTACCTGCTAAGGCTGTGAATTGAATCTGTTGGAGCAAGCATTGTAGATAGGATTTCCAATCTCCTCCCAAGCACTCTTCCATAATATCAAATCCTGGCAAGGCCAAGACATTTTCATAATGAAGATCGACTCAGAAGCTGTCTTTGCTCTTGTGTCCTGATATTGACCTTTTCTTTGCATTCGGTTGTATACACACACACACCCACACAAATTTACAGAAGTTTTTGTGTTTCTTACAACTGTATTTCATTTCATATGTTCATTTTTCAGCTCTCCAACCATTCAACAAGTTTTATTGCATCTTTAATATGGGCCCAATACTGTACAAGGCAGCAGGACATTACTAAAAATATAATCTTAGACTTCTAGGGTCTTAGAATTCAAGTTGGGAGTGCAGTATGCACATAGAAATAATTATTCCTTATATTGTGGTATTACTTACAGTTCTCAAAGTAAGTTCACTAATCTTATTGCAACCTGATACTTTTACTAACAATATAGAGTATGTAGCAAGATTTTGATCAAATTTAATGTGTGCTTAAGCAAAATGATACATGTAAACGTCAATCTGAGTCTTCCTATCCAATTCTGGGCTAAATATTTTCTTTTGGAAACAAAACCAAATCTCTAATTACCTGTAACCTGTATTTTGTATAAAATAAGGCACCAGTGATTGTAAGATTTTATGTACCAATAAGAAAGAAATAATGCAACCAAGATTTTGTGGAGAGGCGATCAAACAGGAACTCCCTAAATAAAACAGAGACACCAAAGGCTATACCTTCATTGCAACACTACATGACCCAATAGTGTGGCCACAGAGAAAGAAATAGCAAGGGAACTTTCATATCTCAACCTTGGCATAGGGTGGAAAATTTTAACCACCAGTTAGTATTTAGGCAGGTTTGAGGTCTGAATTCACATTACCAGTGTGACCCAAAACACCTCACGCAGAGAATTTAATTTAAAGTGGTCTCAGGTGGCTAGTACCCGAAGTTGGCTGGCCAAAGCAAGTGAAAATTCTCTCTGAAAGACCTTGACTTCAATCTAGGCTGACAGAAATTAAGCATATTATTGATTATAAGATGCACTCTGATTTCATTATGTAAAAATATGTTTTAGAATTGATGAAATATAGTTATTACTTATTTTTAAGTAAAGGACTTTCACTTCACAGTTACCTCTTAGGATTAAAATATCTGAGATTTAAGTACATCGGCCGGGCTTGGTGGCTAGCACCTGTAATCCCAGCACTTTAGGAGGCCGACGCTGGTGGGTCACCTGAGGTCAAGAGTTCGAGACCAGCCTGACCAACATGGTGAAACCCTGTCTCTACTAAAAATACAAAAATTAGCTGGGCATGATGATGCACGCCTGTAATCCCAGCTACTTGGGAGGCTGAGGCAGGAGAATCACCGGAACCCGGGAGGCGGAGGTTGCCCTGAGCCAAGATCGTGCCATTGTACTCCAGCCTGGGCAACAAGAGTGAAACTCTGCCTCGAAAAAAAAAAAAAAAAGAAATCAATTGTCTCACATATCTTAGTCCTTATTCTTTAATGCCTTTTATTTTAGAAGACTTACATATGAATCTTCTTCTGAAAAATGTTTCCAGACTAGCATTTCCAAGCTAATATGTCATTTATTTTTTTTTTAAAAAAAAAGGTTAAAAAACAGATAAGACTTTAAGCAGTTTATTTGAAACATTTGCTCTTTATAAAAGCAACCATTTAAAAAATTATGATGTTTAATCGCAGCTTAGGTTCAGGACTGGAGATGAGCTGGAAGATAATCTTGAAGGGGTCCTTCCCTACATGACATTTTGATTACTGTTTTTTAAATCTTGTTATTGTAAAATAAAACACAAACAAAAAAGTGCACAAATACATATGTAGAGCTCAGTGATTTATCACAAAGTGAACATTCATTTAATCGTAATGAAGATCAAGAAACAGAAATTGCCAGCACCTTAGAGATCTCTCATGCTCATATTATCACTGTAGTTCCATTTTGCCCATCCCAGAGATAGTCATTTCCTTGTCCACCTTTTAAAAATAGCTTGAGCATGTAACTCTTCATTTCTCTACATCAGTTTTATTTAGTCAGTCTTTTGAACTTAGGAAAATGGACTCATGGAGTATTTGTTTTGTGCCTGTCTTGTTTTGCTCAACATTATGCTCTTGAGCTTTATCTTTGTCATTGCATATAGCTGTAGTTTGGTCATTCTCATTGATGTACAGTTTTCCATTATATGTAGATGCTACTATTTATCCATCCTACTATGGTTAGACATACAGGTTGCTCTCAGTTTGGACTATTACAAATATTGATGCTATAATTATTCTTGAACAGATCCCTTGATAAAACTGTAGATACAGTTCTTTTGCATATTTAAAACTTGAAATAAAATTGATGAGTAATAGGAAATTTACATGTTCGGCTTAGCATGTTCCCAAGCAGTTTTCCAAAGTGGTAGTACCAATTTGCCTGCTCACTAGCTATGTAATAGAGTGCCAATTTTTCTGGTTTCTTTTGTTTTTTATATTTTAGTCATCCGGACTGCTGAAAATTTGTTCAATGACTTTAAAGAATACATAAGAATTTTTAGATAGTATTATAGGATTATAGCCTCAGTATTAAAAATTATTGACAGGATAAGACAATAAAGCAATGATGGTTAGGTAAAATTCAGCAGGAGCAAAACAAAGTTACACCAGCTGACCAAGTAGAGTATGAGGAGACTAAGTGTCACGGAATTTCACTTGAAAAAGGTGATGGAATATTACTAAAGTGTGGTAGTCAGAAAAGAAAAGTGCTATCTAAATCTAATCCAGCAGGGTAAGTTTTCCCTAAGTAGAGCTTGTATATGCCAACCGCCAATGAGAAATGAACCTTTCACTCGGTAGATGTTTGTTAAGTTGACGAATATGTGAATGAGTGAATGAGTGAATGCTTTGAGCTCAAAGCTGAATATTAAAGAATGTAAAGACACTCCAAAGCAAAGCTCTTCTGCTCTCTTTCTCTCTTCCCCTTAAATTTCCTTTCTATTTAAAGAATAGAAAAAAATAGGTGACAATTACCAGAGAAGCAGATGATTAAAATAAGAACCAGTTAAATCAAACCCAAGGTTTTTTGGAAACATTTATGCAACAACAGGTTGTGTATAAATCATTTAAGTCTCAGTTACCCTTTCCAAAGCAGAATTTTCTTTTCCTGTTCTGTCGAATACATTTCTTTTGGGTTCTTTTTTGTTTTGTCTTCTCTCTTCTTCTTTTACATCCATTTTTTTCTTTCTCCCTTTTAAAAATGGCAATTTCTGTGTTTTCTTTTTTTTAAAAAAAGAATACTGCACACAAAAACCTTCCAGATCAAAAAATTCCTCTTCTAGTCATGCCCTGCTCAGCTTAGATCCCATACTTCACCAGTCATGCTCCTAATTACTCATTTCACTCAGTGCAGAATTCTATTTTTATTTTTTTCCAAAAGATAATAACTCTGGGAGATTTCAATACAGGAAACATGAAATATCAAATGGAATTTTAAAAATTCATGCCCAAAGAGAATATTCCATGTAAATAAAGTCACAGCTCATAAACTTAATACCTATTAGCATCTCCAGACTTTTCTTTTTTATATTTATTCCAATTTCAAGGCATAATCAGCTTTTCGTTTAGCATCATTTGTATTTACATGCCTCCTCTAGGCTGAGGAATAAATGCTTTGTTTCATTACTATTCCCTGAGGTTATTTTGGTTCAGTGGCTTGATGTGTGTAACGCTTCATAAAATTAAGAAATCTCTTATTAATGCCTTCATTTCCCCTTCAGGTTTTTTTTGTCTATGTGATCTATATCACAGATTACATTTACTGTAAACTTAATCTATTTTTAATGACACTTGCCAAGAAAACCGTGGCTTTATTTTTCTGTTTACTTGGTATTTGCCTAGCAAATAGCAGCGGTCTATCATTGATTTGGAAGGAAGGTGGCATGTTAAATTTCACCATTTATCAGTTTTCTCTGTGTAACTGGCATATCAAAGAACAGTGCATTTTAAATCATCTAGTGCTTGCCTGGGGTTTATTTTTTTATGAGATAAAGAAAAACTTAGCTGGAATTTTACATCCTTGAAAAGGAGTTGCAGCCTTATAATGATGCCTTATATTTTTAGTGTGCTTTAACATTAACAAAGTACTTTCAAAAAATAATCTCATTTCATCTTCACGAGAACAAAGCTATGCAGTGTGCTAGTTAGAATATGGCCTCTAGAGCTAGGCTCCCTAATTTCATCCCTGCCTCTGTCATTTACTGTCTGGTAATGTGACCCAGGGTGGTTTACTGAACTTTTCTCTGGGTCTCAGTGTCTTCTTTTGTCCAGTGATGATAACATTGCTGCCTACAGATGCATTGGGTAGATGAAATGAGATAATCATTTGTATTCATTAGTTACTTTCATAATAATATGTATAGCAAAATAACTCCTCAGTGGTCTACAACTATACCTGTGGTTGGCTAGAAGCTGGCTATGCTAATCATGCTTGGCCTCATCAACAAGTCTGTAGACTGGCTGGATATCCATAACCTAAGATAGCCTAGGTTAAGATGACATAGTATCTTTGGCTCTCTTCTATATGTGTTCGTTCTCCAGCAGTCTATCCTAGACATATTCTCATGACAAAAGAGAGATAATCCCATTGCATGAGTTCACTTCAAGCCTCTGCTTGTTCAAACATGCTAATATGCCATTGACCAAAAGAAATCAAGTCGTTGAGCCCAGACTGAAGGGACAGGGTAAGTCAGCCCACTCATGATGAGAGGACACTGAAAATGTAAATTGCAAAAAAACACAAATACAGGAGGGATAAAAAATTGAAGCCATCTGATATGGTTTGGCTTTGTGTCCTCACCCAAATATCATCTCAAATTGTAATCTCCAGGTGTTGAGGGAGGGTGGGAGGTGACTGGATCATGGGGGCAGTTTCCCCCATGCTGTTCTCATGATAGTGAGTGAGTTCTCACAAGATCTGATGGTTTAATAAGGGGCATTTCCACCTTTGCTTTCTCTCTCTCTCTCTCACCTGCCATCATATAAGATGTGCCTCCTTCCTTTTTCACCACGATTGTAAGTTTCCTGAGGCATCCCCAGCCACGTGGAATTGTGGGTGAATTGAACCTCTTTCTTTATAAATTACCCAGTCTCAGGGAAGTTCCTTATAGCAGTGTGAAAATGTACTAATACAGAGAATTGGTACCAGTAGAGTGGGATGCTGCCATAATGATAAACTGAAAATGTGGAAGTGACTTTGGAACTGGGTAATGGGAAGAGGTTGGAAGAGTTTGGAAGGCTCAGAAGAAGACAGGAAGATGTAGGAAAGTTTGGAACTCCCTAGAGACTTGTTGAATGCTTTTGACCAAAATGCTGTTAGTGATATGGACAATAAAGTACAGGCTGAGGTAGTCTCAGATGGACATGAGGAACTCTTTGGGAATTGGAGCAAAGGTCACTGTTGCTATGCTTTAGCAAAGAGACTGGTCGCATTTTGCCCCTGCCCTAGAGATCTGTGGAACTTTGAACTTGAGAGAGATGGTCTGAAATTAAAACTTATGTTTAAAAGGGAAGCAGAGCATAAATTCAGAAAATCTGCAGCAAGAAAATGTGGTAGAAAAGAAAACCCCATTTTCTGGGGGAGGAATTCAAGCCTGCTGCAGAAATTTGTATTAGTAACAAGGAGCTGAATGTTAATAACCAAGACAATGGGGAAAATGTCTCCAGGCATGTCAGAGACCTTCATGGCAGCCCTTCCCATCACAGGCCTCAAGGCCAAGGAGGGAAAAATGTTTTCCTGGCCTTGTCCTAGGGCCCCACTGCTGTGTGCAGCCTACGAACTTGGTGCTCTGCATCCCAGCCACTACAGCTCCAGCTGTGGCTAAAAGAGGGCAAGGTACAGCTTGGGGCATTGCTTCAGAGGATGCAAGCCCCAAGTCTTCACAGCTTTCATGTGGTGTTGGGCCTTCAGGTGCACAGAAGTCAGGAATTGAAGTTTGGAAATATCTGCCTAGATTTCAGGGAATATATGAAAATGCCTGGATGTCCAAGAAGAAGTCTGCTGCAAGGGCAGAGTCCTCATAGAGAACCTCTGCTAGGACAGTGCAGAAGGGAAATGTCAGGGTGGAGCCCCTACACAGAGTCCCCACTGGGGCACTGCCTAGTGGAGCTGTAAAGGAGGGCCACCATCCTCCAGAATCCAGAATGGTAGCTCTCCTGACAGTTTGCACCGTACACCTGGAAAAGCTGAAGGCACTCAATGCCAGCCTGTGAAAGCAGCCACAATGGCTCTACCCTGAAAACCCACAGGGACAGAGCTGCCCAAGTCCCTAGGAGCCCACCCCTTGCATCAGTGTGACCTAAGTGTGAGACACGCTGTCAAAGGATATTATTTTGGATCTTTAAGAGTTAATGACTGTCCCGCTAGGTTTTGGACTTGCATGGAGTCTATAGCCACTTTGTTTTAGGCAATTACTCCCATTTGGAATGGGAACATTTATCCAATGCATGTACCCCCATCGTATCTTGGAAGTAACTAACTTGCTGTTGATTTTATGGGCTTATAGGTGGAAGGGACTTTCCTTGTCTCAGATGAGACTTTGAACTTGGACTTTTGAGTTAATGCTGGAATGAGTTAAGACTTTGGGGGACTGTTGGGAAAGCATGATTTTGAAATGTGAAAGGGACATGAGATTTTGGAGGGGCCAGGGGCGGAATGATATGGTTTGGCTCTGTGTTCCCACCCAAATCTCGTCTCAAATTGTAATTCTCAGGTGTTGAGGGAAGAACATGGTGGGAGGTGATTGGACCATGCGGTTGGTTTCCCCCATGCTGTTCTTGTGATAGTGAGTGTGTTCTCATGAGATCTGATGATTTTATAAGGGGCTCTTCCCCCCTCGCTTTCTCTCTGTCTCTCTCTTGCCACCATGTAAGATGTGCCTGCTTCCCCTTCCACGATGATTGTAACTTTCCTGAAGCCTCCACTGCCATGCAGAACTGTGAGTCAATTAAACCTCTTTCCTTTATAAATTACCCATTCTCAAGGAAATTCTTTATAGCAGTGTAAAGACAGACTAATATACCATCATTGTAATCTACTGTAACATGTAAACTATAGCAAAATACCTATAACAAAGATTTAATAAGTGTGTAGCTATTACTATTAGGTTGATCTAAATGAAATTATCATTTTTGTACATAAACATGACTAAATATTGGCAATTTTATATAATTCAACCTCAAATATTACAACATGTTGTAAAAAGGAATTATCATCTATCATTTTCAGGTAAAGAAACTGAAGCCTAAGTAATTTTCAACATTACCCAGCTACTATATTTTAACTTTTCATTTGAGTATAGTCTTCTGATTCGAAATCCAGGTGTCTTGTCTTATATTACAGCTGTAGTTTGAGATGCTTCGTGATAGGTAAATAATTTTTTGACATCAATTTATGTATAACACGAAGACATAATTTCCTAACTCTTTAATGTCATAAAACTCATGCATTGCCAGGGAGTACTGACAACTGAAAGACCTGGACTTTTGCCAACAATAACACTGTAGCATTCCGTCTCCTGGTTACTTGCACCTAGAAATGGAAATGAAGCTGGTAGTAGCTAAATACTATATTAGTACTTTCAGGAAAGCCATCTCAAAAGCACTTGAGAATTTGTGAGTTATGACTAAATATGGTTTTTTATTCTTTAAAAATTATTTTTTTAGTATATATTGTCAAATTATAGTCGTATACATTTATGAGGTTAAAATTGGTGTCATAACTTTTGAATACAATGAGGAAAGCTTAATCAAATTAATATTCATCACCTTAAATATTTAACATTTTTTGGGATGGGAACATTAGAAATTTACTCTGTTAGTTATATTAAAATGTACAGAACTCAATTATTAACTATATTCACCACGTTGTGAAATTGATTTAAAAAAATCAAGCTTATTCCTCCTAAATGAAACTTTGTGTTATTTGACTCTCCCTATTCTCCCCATCCCCCAACCTCTGTGTAACCACCACTCTACTTGCTGCTTCTGTGAGTTCAATTGCTTTAGATTCCACACATAAGTAAGAAAATGTGGTATTTGTCTTTCTGTGCCTGGCTTATTTCATTTAGCATAAATTCTCTAATGCCATCCATGTTGTTGCAAATGACAGAATTCATTCTTTTTTAGGGCTGAATAGTATTCCATGGTGTATATACATCACATTTTCTTTATCCACTCATCCACTGATGGACGCTTAATTTGATTCCATAACCTGGCTATTCTGGATAGTGCTGCAATGAACATGGGAGTACTGACATCTCTTTGACATATTGATTTCAGATCTTTCAGTTAAACACCCAGAAATGGAATTGCTGTAACATATGGTAATTCTATTTTTAGTTTCTTGAGGAACCTCTACACTATTTTCCATAATGGCTGTATTAATTTACATTCCCAACAACAGTGTTCAAAATACAGTATTTCATTCTTGTCTCACTTGTATTTTCCTAAACATGGTGGTTGTATTTTTTCACGTTTATTTCTTATTTGTATATCTAATTATATTTGAGCTAGGTGAACAGATAAATTACAGGTGGGTTCTTTTTCCATATGTGCCTATAATATATCTAGCACTAAACGATGTATCAAAATATTTCTAGAGTTGTCCTGTCTGCCATCTATCAGAAGGCCTCTACTGAGTGCATTGACTAATGACCATCAGAATCAACTTATTATTCCAATTATAATTAACATTTTATATAATTCAGAATAAGAGATTTGTAAAGAGCAATAAGCTATTGAACCTCCTCATAAAATATATTGTTGCTAAATTAAGTTTCCTGGCCTATCAATTAGCATCTTACTTAAAATAGTCCCAATTTAATTTCCCACTTCCTGTTACCACAAAGGTCAGCATCAAAGGATTCTTCATTCCTGACACACTGGTAATTTCCAGACTGCAGGACTCTGTGTTACTTATTGTTCTCTAAACTGAATGACCCTTTGGATTTATTTTCCTGATGCTGTCAAATCAAGAAGGAAATACCTGTCCAGGCACAGTGGCTCACGCCTGTAATCCCAGCACTTTGGGAGGCCGAGGCGGGCGGATCACCTGAGGTCAGGAGTTCGAGACCAGCCTGACCAACATGGTGAAACCTCGTCTCTACTAAAAACAGAAAAATTAGCCGGGCTGGTGGTGGGCACTTGTAATCCCAGCTACTCGGAAGGCTGAGGCAGGAGAATCACTTGAACCTGGGAGGTGGAGGTTGCAGTGAGCCGAGATCCTGCCAGTGCACTCCAGCCTGGGTGATAGAGCAGGACTTCATCTCAAACAAAAAAAAAAAAAAAGAAGAAGGAAATACCTTTAATACTCGTACAACAAGCCATAGCAACATATCTACACTCGTGATGTAAGGACTCACTCTTCATAACCATCCTGTTTTCTGCTCTAAATCTAAAAGTTGTGTGTAGATGGAGTACCTCCCATATGCAGGTGAGGAGAGTGAAAAGGGGTTGGCATCATTGAATCCATATTTGTTTCCTATTTCTGTCCTGTACTAGTTGGGTGACATGTGAAAAAGGTATTTAAGTTGTGTCCTTGTCTCTAATGTTTGCACGAGCCCTAACTCACAGTGCTGCTTGGCATCAAATGAGATATTGTATACGCTTAAGCACCCCAGAGTTGTTGATCAAATTCTGAATTGCAAAATTCAGAGAACCATCTGAGAGATATCTGCTTATCTATCTAGTGAAGGAGAAAATAAAAAAATAGCCTATACAGCTTCTAAATCTGAGGAAGTTACCAATCAAATCTGACAGTCATAGTACTTTAAGATTTTTCTTCTTTTGCGTATTATAATTGCCACAGATCATTTTGATTCAAGAGTATAGATAGCAGTATTTTTCATTTTTTTACTGTGGTACAGTCAGAAATATGATTTTAATATAACTCATATGCACATGCTGTGCACATACTCACACATCTCAAAGAAAAGTTCACGAACCTGTGTTGTTGCCTAATATTTTCTACTCTAATTTTTTCCAGTATCATTTATTCACTTTTTAAAAAAATCGTTTATGTGTATCCCAGTTTGTGTTACAACATATGTTTTAAAATGTTTAGAAGTAAGACAGATCAGAATTTAAGTCCTGAATCATCCACTTGCTAGCATAGTGACTTTGAACAAATTAAAATCTCAATTTCCTCATTTGTAAAATGGGAATTATAATAGAAATAAATCTTATGGAGACATAGTAAGGATTAATTCAGATAATTCATGCAAAACGCAAAGCATAGTAGATGCTCATTATTTGAGGGTTTCAAATCATGATCCTTCATTGAATTAGAGACAGTTAAAATATATTTAACTGTATTCTATCAAATTCAGAAAGTTAGATAACAATCTGGGCAATTTAGAACTTTAAATTTATTTCTTCCTTTACAATTTGATGGAGAGAGAAATTAAAGATTACCTTAGGATTTTTAATGTCTGTGAAAAAATAAACTTCATATCCAAACACCACAGACCTAGTTTGGTAGGAAAGACCATGAGTGCTTGGGAAACATTGTTCTGCAACTTGTCAAGTACCTCACTGCTCAGAGCCATTCAGGAGATTGGCCTGGTACAATTTAACTGTGTTTTTCAAAGTTCTAAATCTGGGCCTGCATTTGTAAACACCAATACACTATTAAAATCTCTCTCTTTTCCATCCTCACCCTATTTCATTTCCCCAAGATAAATCAATCTTTATAGCTTTTCTGAAACTTCCAAATGTGTCTCAGAAAATTATATCATTGTTAGCTACTTGCTTCTCTTTGGGCTTAGAATACTTGACCAAAATCAAATCTCACATTTCAAACCTGATGTTCTACTGTTTTCTACTACTGTGGAAAGTAGAACTGCAGCTTAACTCAATTTGTATTTTTCTTCCTAATTTAGTGTCAAAGCAAACTAAATATGGCCTGAGAAGGACTCCATACCTCTATATTTGAGTCCTTGTGGACAAACTGCAACCTGGCTTAATAGGTAGATGAGAATTAAGCTCTGATTTCTTTATCTTGCCCAAATTCCCATCTAAGGGCTCTGGAGAGTCATGCCCTGCAAACCACAAATTCTCATCAGATGGGTTGTATTGAACCTTATATATCGTGACTTACTTTCCAATCTGACTCTGGCATAACATTATGTGACAAAGAAGAAAGTCAAAATATTTTACCCCCAAACACGTTTATTTGCCATATCTTGAAATGGCCCTGCAAAGCTGTCCTTTGTGGCGGAAAATTTACATCTATAAAGAATCTCTATTAACATAGCTAGATCTTTTTCTTCCAGCCCCTCCCAATCCTAACTTGTGAAAGTTAAGCCTGCATTGTAAAATTATTTCTGTATTGATGGAACGTAAGCACAGGTCATCTTTTTTCTGCTTCTCCCACTTAACATAATCTCCTCTCTATTTTTTTACCACTATCTCATGCTCTGGAATGAAATTGAACCACAATTCTCTAACAGAAAACTTCAACAAGGCCATTGGCACCTATTATCATTCAATAGTCAGAGAGCAGATAAAATAGAAATTACTCCTTTTTGAATCTTTATTCTTCCAAAATTGTTATACTTTAGTCCAATTTTCTTGAGTTCAATTCATGATTGTTTGACGCTGTGTTTGGGAGATTTTGATTTTGAGGCTTTATTTCACACCTGAGGTTTTTTATAATTTTGAGAATTTTGGTGCCACTGACCTATCAACATATGCTACTATCTGTATTCTTGAAGATAGTTTGGTAACCCCTTCAGAATTGGATTACACTGTATAAACCAAAATATATTCAAGTTTTCTCTGTTGCTTGCAATGTAGACAAGATCCATAAACTATGAGTATGTTAGCCCAAAACTCAGGCCAACAGCAAAATATTTTACTGTGAAGCAAGGCCCAAGTATATATAACGAGGTACTTTCATGATGTTTAGAAGAATATTTTTGATAAGAAAAACTAACCAGGCGCAGTTGCTCACTCCTGTAATCCCAGCACTTTGGGAGGCTGAGGCAGGAGGATAGCTTGTTGCCAGGAGTTCAAGACAAACCTGGGCAACATAGCAAGACTCTGTCTCTACAAATAGTTAGCTGAGTGTAGTGGCTTTTGCTTGTAGTCCTAGCTACTCAGAAGGCTGAGGCAGGAGGACTGCCTGAGTCCAAGAGTTTGAGGCCATGATCAAGCCACTGCACCCCAGCCTATATGATGGAGCAAGACTCTGTTTTTAAAATAAATAAATAAATAAACTTAAAATATATAAAATTACATAAATTTTTTTTAAAAAGATAAGAAAGACTGAATCAAATTCCATAAACCATAAGGAAATACATTTCTCGGCATACCAGGAAGATTAGAGGTAGGGCAGGCTTCAAATACAGAAACACCAGTGTTTCAATGATTCAATAAAATATGCATCTCTTTACTTTGCTCTCCTAAATATCAACTTATTTTCAGGAGCATGCCTATGGCAACTGGGAGTGCTTACTTTTTTTTGAGACAGAGTCTCACTCTGTCACCAGGCTGGAGTGCAGTGGCGCGATCTCGGCTCACCGCAACCTCCACCTCCTGGGTTCAAGCGATTCTTGTGCCTCAGCTTCCCAAGTAGCTGGGATTACAGGCACATGCCACCACACTCAGCTAATTTTTGTATTTTTAGTAGAGACGGGGTTTCACCATGTTGGCCAGGCTGGTCTCAAA
Organism: Homo sapiens; assembly: GCF_000001405.40. Lineage (NCBI taxonomy): Eukaryota > Metazoa > Chordata > Mammalia > Primates > Hominidae > Homo > Homo sapiens. Next base: position 34,607,053 of record NC_000023.11, on the reverse strand, counting down.
CTCCTGACCTCATGATCTGCCCGCCTCGGCCTCCCAAAGTGCTGGTGTTACAGACGTGAGCCACCGTGTCTGACCTGGGAATGCTTAGTTTTTAATTTATTCATTGAAACAAAACAGAATGACTTCTCTCCAAAAGATGAATATAATTAACTCTGATTAGTTAACTTAGATTACATAACTTATCTGGACAAGAATAGCCAAGAGAAATACTGCACTGATTCCATCATCAAATAGCCATTCCATGTGGAGCTGGAGATGGAGTAGATACCCAAACAAAATTGAGGTTCTGTTAGGAAAGAGAAAGTGTAGCTTCAGCTTTTTTTTTTTCATTTTTATTTCCTATTCTAATATCTTCTGAAATTTTATTTACAACACATGGGCATTTAATAGCCATTAACATGTGAAAAGGCAAGTATTGAAAATACATTGGAGTCTAAGTACAGGGTGGTTCATAAAATGCAGACACTCAATTTTTATATTAAAGACATTTTTCATAACTTTCAGAAATAAAAATCTTTTCAAATCATTTAATTGGATTTGTTTCCTGGCTCCAGAAACAAATAAACCCCCATTTTAATCTGTGCAATACACCTTCAAACACCAGAGACGTGCTGAGTCACTGATAAGTAATTCACTTATTCTGGAAACAGATAGATGAACCAATTGCTGAAAGCTGCAGACATCTAAGTTCCCCCATACCTTTCCTTGTTGAGATTAGCTAGTACAGATGAATGCTGGCATCCTAATCAAGACAAAAATAGTGTATCCCCCCTTAAATTTTTAGCAACCTGTCATGGTAAATTTCTGATGTCATGCCTAGTAATATTTTGTGTCAAGAGTCTTTAGATCCGCTGAACTTAAGTACTGCAAATAGTTGTGGATAGTTGATATTTCCTCTAAAAACAGTCAGATTTGCAAATAATCACATCTCCTTTAGGGGATGTCAAATGCAGGGGAGTGAATAATTCTACTCTAAGTAATGTAAAAGTTTGAATTCATTTTATCCAAATAAGTAAAAAGGTTTGAATTCATTTTATCCAAACCACCAATGTAATTAAAAGATTTTTTTTCTGATTTTTATCCAACACTGCTGATTACAAGGCATCTTGAGCATTTATTCAATAATCTTCCTGGTCTATTTTTTAAATCCTTGAGTAAAAGAAATTAAATAACCTTCTCCCACATAAATGATAACTTAGATATATATGAATAATAGTAGTTACATGGTATATATCTATTATACTTAAAAGCTAATATTGACTGTTAAATCAATATATGTGCTTTGGTGATGCTGAATGACTTTTAAGAACAGAGCCACAGAACACACGGCTATTTGAATTGAGGTTTCAAAACTACATGTAAAATTTTTGCAAGTAAACAAAACTAGATCAAAAAAGAAAAGGAATTCTTGTATGTTGGGCAAATTTCCCTCTGTATTAATCAGTCTAAATATATTTTCTCAACAAATTAACTTGAAACTTAAAAATATTATCAAGGTTAAATTTACATACAGTGAAATGAACAGACTGTAAATGTACAATTGAAATGGGAGAGTTCCCTGATCTTCCTTGCAGGACATGCGACAGGGGTGTGGCTCGTATGTCCAGCACTCAAACCCCTTACAGGAGGGTGAACATGCAGAGGGGCAGGTGCAGGAGCTGGGGTGAGCCCTTTTTTGGGCTCTGGCCCGATGGTAGCATCTAGGGATGGATGTCTGAGACTCCCAAAACCCAAGTGGGTATGTGTTACTTTGGGCTCTTTTAGCTTTGCTTCCCACAGACGGCTTAAGTGTTAAACATTTCAGTGGACTCTCTGCCTTTTCGCAAGGGCAGTGAGCCAGTGTGACAGCTTTCTGTATCCCAAGTTCTTGTCCGACATTCAGAAAAAATCAGGTCACAGATAAACTTGAAGGGTGGTGAATGCGGGGGTTTTATTGAGTGGTGGAGGTAGCTCTCAGTAGGAAGGATGGGGAGCTGGAAGTGGGATGGAGTGAAAACATGATCTTCCTCTGGAGTTTGGCTGCTCAGCGGCCAATCTCCTCTCTGATCATCCTCAGCTGAACTCCTCTCGAAGTTCATACACTCCTTGTCTTCTCTCCTTCTCTTCTCTTCTCTTCTCTTCTCTTCTCTTCTCTTCTCTTCTCTTCTCTTCTCTTCTCTTCTCTTCTTTTCTCTTCTCTTCTCTTCTCTTCTCTTCTGCTCTTCTGTGCATTTGCTTATCTGCTCATCTGCTTGTGGAGCCTGGGGTTTGGGGTTTATATTGGTACAGGATAGGGAGATGTGGTGGACCAAAAGGCAACCTTTGTATGTGAAAACAGGAATGCCTATTCCCATTTATGGCTGTGGGTTTCCAGGCTCGAGGGTGGGGCCTTTGCCAGGGAATTGCCCTCTTCTATCCAGTATTTTCCTGTCTCCTGTTTGTATCACAATTTCATGAGATTTTATATACACACATGTAATAAAAACATTCACATATAATATACACACATGTAATTTATATCCACTCAATATAAGGTCAAGAGACCCTGGTGCTTCCTTTTTCTAATCATATTCCCCTTGATAAGAAATCACTGCTCTGATTTCTATTGCCATCGGTTAAATTTGCATGTTCTAGAACTTCATCTAAATAGAATCATAAAAATGTAGTGTTTTGTATATTTCCTCTAGAAACAGGCAGATTTGCAAATGATCACATCTCGTGACAAATACAGAAGAGTGGGATTATTCTACTCCAAGTAATGTCAACATTATTTCTATGAGATTCATACATGTTGGTTTGTGTATCAGTAGTTCATTTTTATTGCTAAATATTACTTCATTATTTGAATATATCTCAGTTTATGTACCATCTTGCTGAAAGACTTTAAAATTATTCCCCATTTTTGACTATTTTGAATAAAACTACTATAAGCATTCACATACAAGTCTGTGTGATCAAATTTGTTTTTTGTTTAAATAAATACCAAGAAGTGGAATCATAGAGTAATATGAGTGGTATGTGTTTAACTGTTTAAAATATTGTCAACCAGTTTTCTGAGGTGTTTGTATTTCTGCAGTTTTAGTTTCCATTTCCCTGATAACTAATAACATGCGAATCTTTACATACACTGATTGGCTATTTACAAATCTTCTTTTATATAGTATTTGTCCAAGTATTTTGTCCATTTTTTATTAGTCATTTTTGAGAGATATTTATATATTCTAGACACAAGTTCTTTGCAGACATGTGTGTTGCTAAAATTTTCACTCCCTCTGTGGTTAGCATTTTTATTTTCATAAGGATGATTACTGAAAAGCAGACTTTTATTTTGATGAAGTCCAATTTATCATTTTTCTTTATGCTGAATATATTTTTGTGGTGACCACTCTAAGAAATCTGTGCAGACTCTGTGTTCCCCAAAATATTCTGTAATGTTTTCTTCTAAAAACTTTTGCAGTTTTAGCTTTTATATTAAGGTCTTAATCCATCTCAAATTAATATTTGTGCACTGGGTAAAAAGGGGACAAGGTTAGTTTTTCCCTATATTTATTAAGTTGCTCCAGCCCTATTTGTTCAAATTAACTTCTTCTTTGAATGGCATTAAGCTCTTTCTTAAAAATTGATTGTATGTGAGTCTTTTTCTGGATGCTATATTCTGTTTTTTTGAGCTATTTGTATATCCATTTATAATACCACAACATCTCAATTACTGTAGCATTATAGAAAGATAGAAATTAGGTAGTGTAAAGCCTTTAAAATGGGAAAAGTGAACTAATCATTGATTTAAAATCTTATTTATTTTATAAAATATGCAGGCAAAGGTATACATTTTCCTGTAAGTATTGCTTTAGTAGCATTCCACAAATTTTGGCATGCTGTGCTTTCATTCAAATTCAATTTGATGTATTTTTAGCTTCCTTTGTGATGCATTCTTTGGCCCATGAGTTATTTAGAAAAGTTGGTTAATTTCCAAAGTTTGGGGTATTTTCTAAATATTTTCTTATTATTCATTTTCAACTTTATTTTGTTATGTTCAAAGAACATATGCCATAAGTGTTTAGTCTTTTCAAGTGTATCAATGCATATTTTATTACCCCGCAATTGTCATTCTTGACAGAAATCCCATGTGTACATGAAAAACAATGTGTTCAGAAATTGAGGTGATCTATAAGTGTCAATCAGATTCAGTAAGTTGACATTGTTTTTGAAAGATTTTACAGCCTTATGATCTTTTGTCTACTTGTTTTATCAGTTACTGAGGAGGGTAATGCACTCACCAACAATGACTATGGCTTTCTGTGTTTCTTACTTTAGTTCCATCAATTTTCACTTCATCTATTTTGTAACTTTGTTATTTGGTTCATTCACTTTGAGGATTGTGATGTCTTCCTAGTGAATTGACACATTTTTGATATGATTTATTTGTCTTCCTTCTAAGCTATTTGTTTTCTACTTGTCCCACACATTATTCGTTTCTTTTGTCCTTATTTACTGCTTCTTGGTGTTATTTTAATATTTTAGTCTATTATTTTATATCCTCTGCTGGATTTTTATTCATACCTATTAATCCTTATTTCATTATTTTTTATTATAATTTGTATCCCTAACTTTTCACAATCTACTTAGAATGAATATTATATAACTTTGTATAAAATTCAAAACATTAACAAAAGTGTAATTCTACTTTCCTTCTTATACTGTGTGCTATGTTGTCATGCATTTAACTTCTACATACATCAAAAATCCTGCAGTAAAATACAATCATGCATCACATAATGAAATTTCAGAGACTAACAGCATATATGATGGTGGTCTGAAAAGATTATACTATCATATTGTTACTGTACCTTTGCTGTGTTTAGATACACAAATACTTACCATTGCCTTACAATTGCCTACAGTATTTAGTACAGTAATATGCTACATAGGTTTATAGCTTAGGAACATTAAGCTATGCCATATATCATAGGTATACAGTAGGCAATACCATATAGGTTTGTGTAAGTATACTCTGTGATGTTCACACAACAATGAAATTGCCAAATAAAGCATTTATTAGGTTCTCTTTCCAAGATGGTGGACTAGATGCAGCCAAGAGGAACATCTCCCACCTAGGGACTGGGACATTGGGAACACTGGCACACTCCTAGTAGATCTTCATAGGAAAATCATTGAGAGCAGATGGAGAGCAGATGCTTGGCTGAGTGGGGAGGAAGCTGGGAACACTGCATGGGGCTATGGCATACTGGGACTCATTCCTGGCCTCCAGGGACTCTCAGGGAAGGAATTAGTTGAATAGGTAAGGAGGAACCTGTTCTCACCATGGGTCTCTGATATCCCGGCAGGAGGAGACTCCTTGACCACCACAACTTGAGTCAGCAGGGAAAGCTGCTTAGAGTAGTGGTAGGGGCAGAACTCAAGCCAGTTTGCAGCCCAGAGAGTTTAGTACAGGAGTGTCTCTAGAAGAGCATGGCCAGAGATACACATCCCCTAGCTCAACTTGCACCCATAGGATAATTTCTCCCTAGGGGAACTATCAGAGCTGAACTCTTCAGGACAGTCTTGCACAAGACAGGGCTAGTCTGACCTGAGCACCCCTTTGTCAGCTGGCCTCTGCTGGGGCCCCAATCTGACCATACCTGTTTGCAGTGCAGCCCCCAGGTTCCTCCTGCATCATAGCTTCTGCACTGGAGAACATTGCAACCCAATTTATGAAAGATAAGACTGAAAATAAAATGATACAGGAGCTGACAGGCAAAATATCCATATAGAAAACAATGTAACTGGCCTGATAGTGCTGAACAACTCTCTAAATGAATTTCATAATGCAGTCACAAGTATTAACAGCAGAATACACCAAGCTGAGGAAAGAATCTCAGAGATTGAAGACTGGATTTCTGAAATAAAGTCATTAGACAAGAATAGAGAAAAAAGAATGAAAACGAATGAAGAATATATATGAGAGATATGGAATTATGTAAAGAGACCAAATTTATGACTTATTGGCATCCTTGAAAGAGATAGGACAAATGGAAGAAACTTGGAAAACATATTTAAGGAGATCATCCATGAGATTTTCTCCAACCTAGCTAGAGAGGCCAACACTCAAATTGAGGAAATGCAGAAAACCCCTGCAAAACACTTCACAAGAATCTCGCCCCAAGACACATAATCATCAGACACTTCAAGGTCAAAATGAAAGAAAAAAATGTTAAAGGAAGCTAGAGAGAAAGGACAGGTCTCCTTCAAAGGGGAGCCCATGAGACTAACAGTGGACCTCTCAGCAGAAACCATACAAGTCAGAAGAGATTGGGGGCCTATAGTCAACATTCTTAAAGAAAAGATTCCAATCAGAAATTTCATATCCAGCCAAACTTAGCTTCGTAAGGGAAGGAGAAATAAGATCCTTTTCAGACATGCAAATGTTGGGGGAATTCATGACTACCAGACATGCCTTAAAAGAGCTCCTGAAAAAAGCAGTAAATATGAAAAGGAAAGACTATTACCAGCCACTACAAAAACACACTTAAGTACATAGACCAGTGACGCTATGAAGCAATCATACAAAAAAGTCAGAATAATAAACAGCTAACAACATGATGACATGATCAAATGCACAAATATCAATAGTTACCTTGAATGTAAATGGGCTAAATGCTCCCATTTAAAAAGCACAGAGTAGCAAAGTGGATAAACAAGCAAGACCCACAGGAATGCTGTCTTCAAGAGACTCATCTCACATGCAATGACACCCATAGGCTCAAAATAAAGAGATGAAGAAAATTCTACCAAGAAAATGGAAAACAGAAAAAAGGTAGGAGTTGCGTTCCTAATTTCAGACAAAGCAGACTTTAAACCAAAAAAGATCAAAGAAGACAAAGTAGGGCATTACATAATGGTAAAAGGTTCAATGCCACAAGAAGACCTAACTATTCTAAATATATATTCACTCAACACAGGAGCACCCAGATTCATAAAGCAAGTACTTAGAGACCTTCAAAGAGACTTAGACTTCCACACAATAACATTGGGAGACTTCAACCCTCCACTGACAGCATTAGACAGATCATTGAGGCAGAAAATTAACCAAGGTATTCAGGAAGTGAACTCAACACTGGGCCAAATGTATCTGACAGACATCATCTATGGAACTCTCCAGCCAAAAACAACAGAATATACATTCTTTTCATTGCTACATGGCACATACTCTAAAATCAACCACGCAATCAGACATAAAACAATCCTCAGCAAATGCAAAAGAAAAATCATAGCAACCACTCTCTGGGACAACAGTGCAATAAAAACGGAATTCAAGACTAAGAAAATCACTCAAAATCACACAATTATATGGAAATTAAATGACCTGCTCCTGAATGACTTTGGGGGTAAATAACGAAACTAAGGCAGAAATCAAGAATTTTTTTGAAACTATTGAGAACAACGATATAACATAGGAGAATCTCTGGGACACAGCTAAAGCAGTGTTAAGAGGGAAATGTCCATATCAAAAAGTGAGAAACATCTCAAATTAACAACCGAACATCACAACTAAAAGAACAAAAGAAGCAAAAGAAAAGCAACCCCATACCTAACAGAAGACAAGAAGCAATCAAAATCAGAGCTGAACAGAAGAAGACTGAGAAATGAGAAGCCATTCAAACAATTACCAAAGCCAGGAGCTGGTGTTTTGAAAAACTAATAAGATAGATAGACTATTAGCTGGACTAATAAAGAAGAAAAAATAGAAGATCTAAATAATCACAATTAGAAATGACAAAGTGGATATTACCACTGACTCCACAGAACTATAAATAACCATGAGAGACTATTATGAACACCTTTATGCACATAAACTAGAAAATCTAAAAGAAATTGATAAATTCCTGAAATCATACAATATACAAAGACTGAATCAGGAAGAAATTGAATCCCTGAACAGATGAAAAACAAATTCCAAAATTGAAACAATAGTAAGTAGCCTACCAACCAAAAAAAGCCCTTTACCAGATGGATTCACAGCCAAATTCTACTAGATGTACAAAGATGAGGTAGTACCATTCCTATTGAAACTATTCCCAAAAATTGAGGAGGAGGGACTCCTGCCCAACTCATTTTATGAGGCCAGCATCATCCTGATACCAAAACCTTGCAGAGACACAACAAAAAAGGAAAACTTCAGACCAATATCCTTGATGAACATTGATGCAAAAATCCTCAAAAAAATGCTTAAAAACTGAATCCAGCAGCACATCAAATAGCTAGTCCACCACGATTAAGTAGGTCTTATCCCTGGGATGCAAGTTTGGTTCAACATATAAAAATCAATAAATGTGATTTATTACTAAACAGAAGTAAAGACAAAAAACACATGATTATCTCAATAGATGCAGAAAGTGTTTTTGATAAAATTCAACATCCTTCATGTTAAAAACCCTTAACAAGCTAGGCAATTAAGGAACATAACTTGAAATATTAAGAGCCATCTATGACAAAACCAAGCCAACATTATGCTGAATCGGCAAAAGCTGGAAGCATTCTCCTTGATAACCAGCACAAAACAAGGATGCCCTCTCTCATCACACCTATTCAACATAGTATTAGAAATCCTGTCCAGAGCAATCAGGCAAGAGGAAGAAATAAAAGGCATCTATATAAAAAGAGAGGAACTCAAATTATCCCAGTTGAGAGATTACATGATTCTATTTCTAGAAAATGCCATAGTTTTGGCCCAAAATCTCCTTCAGCTGATAAACAACTTCAGCAAAGTTTCAGGATACAAAATCAGCATATAAAAATCACTGGCATTTCTATACTCCAACAATACCCAAACCAAGAGCCAAATCAGGAAGGTAGTGTCAATCACAATTGCCATCAAAATAATAAAATAACTAGGAATACAGCTAACCAGGAAGGTGAAAGATCTCATTTAGAACTACAAAGCACTGCTTAAATAAATCAGAGATAATACAAATAATTGGAAAAACATTCCATGCTCATGGATAAGAAGAATCAATAGCATTAACATGGCCATACTGCCCAAAGGAATTTACAGATTTAATGCTATTACTATCAAACTATCAATGCCATTCTTCACAGAACTAGAAAACCTATTTTAAAAATTATATGGAACTGAAACAGAATCTGAATAGCCATGCAATCCTAAGCAAAGAGAACAATCTGAAGGCATCATGCCACCTGACTTCAAACTACACTACAGGGCTATAAGTCACCAAAACAGCACGGCAGTGGTACAAAAACAGGCATACATCAATGGAAAAAAATAGGTAACCCAGAAGTAAAGCCACACATCTGCAACTACCTGATCTTCAACAAACCAGCAAAAAAAAAAGCAATGGGGAAAAGATTCCCTATTCAATAAATGATGCTGCGATAACTGGCTGGCCATATGCAGAAGATTGAAACTGGACTCCTTCTTTACACCATATACAAAAAATCACCTCAAGATGAATTAAAGTCTTAAATGTAAAACCCAAAACTATAAAAGCTCTGGAAGACAACCTAGGGAATACCATTCTGGACATAGAAACTGGCAAAGATTTCATGACAAAGTCTCCAAAAGCAATTGCAACAAAAGCAAAAGTTGACAAATGGTATCTAATTAAGTGAAACAGCTTCTGTATGGCAAAAGAAAGTATCAACCAAGCAAACAGACAATATACAGAATGGGAGAAAATATTTGCAAACTATGCATCTGGCAAAGGCCTAGTATTCAGCATCTTTAAGTAACTTAAACAAATTTACAAGAAAAAAAATCTTATTGAAAGTCCATAAACACACACTTTTTATTTATTTTTATATGTATTATTATTATTATTATTTTTGAGATGGAGTTTTTCTCTTGTTGCCTAGGCTGGAGTGCAGTGGTGCAATCTTGGCTCACTGCAACCTCTGCTTTCCGATTTCAAGCGATTCTCCTGCCTCAATCTCCCTCGTAGCTGGGATTACAGGTGCCCGCCACCATGCCTGGCTAATTTTTGTATTTTTAGTAGAGGTGGGGTTTCACCATGATGGCCAGGCAAGTCTCGAACTCCTCACCTCGTGATCTGCCTGCCTCAGCTTCCCAAAGTGCTGGGATTACAGGCGTGAGCCACTGTGCCCACTGACGCTTTTTAAAAGAAGACATAAATGCAGCCAACAAACACATGAAAAGAAGCTCAATATCCCTGATCTTGGAGAAATGCAAATCAAAACCACAATGAGATACCATCTCACACCAGTTAAAATTGCTATTACTAAAATGTAAAAAAATAACAGATGCTGGCAAGGTTGCAGAGAAAAGAGAACGCTCTCACACTGTTGGTGGGAGTGTAAATTAGTTCAACCATTGTGGAAAGCAGTGTGGAGTTTCCTCAACGGCCTAAAAAAAAAGACTTCCATTCGACTTAGCCATCCCATTACTGTGTATATATCTAAAGGAATACAAATCCTTCTATCATAAAGACACATGCACGCATATGTTCAGTGTACCACTATCCACAATAGCAAAGACATGGAATCAACCTAAATGTCCACCAATGGATTATTGGATAAAGAAAATGTGGTACATATGCACCATGGAATATTTTGCATTCATAAAAAAGAATGGGACTATGTCCTTTTCGGCAACACGGATGGAGCTGGAGGCCATCATCTTTACCAAACTAACACAGAAACACAAAGCAAATACCACATGTTCTCGCTAATAAGTGGGAACTAAATTATGAGAACACATGGACACAAAGAAGGGAAGAACAGACACTGGGGCCTACTTGAGGGTAGGGGATGGGAGGAGGGAGAGGATCAGGAAAAATAAATATTTTTATTTATAATGATATTTATTATATATAATATATATGAAATAATATATAATATTTATAATAAATAAAATAAAAATAAATATACTAGGACTAGTACCTGGGTGACAAAATAATTTGTACAACAAACCCCCATGACATGAGTTTACCTATATAGCAAACCTACAGATGAACCTGTGAACCTAAGATAAAAGTTAAAAATAACAAAAACCAAAAGCATTTATTAGAGTGTATCTTATTGCTAAGTAAAACATTACTATATTTTATTTATGCTTCAAATATTAGTTTTTTAAAAATATAGAAACTAAAAAACAAAACAAAAGCATTTATATTTACCCACATATTTGCCGTTTCTGTCTCATTTCATTTTGTTATTGATTTCTGTTTCTCTCTAGTATCATTTTTCTTTGTAGTGAATGATTTTCTTTATCTTCTTTCAGAGGCCAGATCTGCTGTCAGCAAATTTCTTCAGTTTTTATCTGAAAAGGGCTATTATACATCCTGTGTTTTTCATTTTTTAAGGTACAAATTACAAACAGTAAAATTTACCCTTTAGGTATACAATTTTACTATTTTCAGAAACAGATAAAGTCATATATTTCCTTAATCACTATATAGAACACAGCCATCACCCAAAACATATTTCCATGTGGCCCTTTCAATTCAACCTGTCCTCCCACTCCCAGCCTCTAGTAGCTATGGACCTATTTTCTGTCCATATAATTTTGTCTTTTCCACATGAGCATATAAATGAAATCATGCTCTATGTATCCTTTAAATTTGGCTTCTTTCATTTAGCATAACAAATTTGAGATCTATTAAGTCATTGGATATATCAATAATTCATTCTTTTTTTTTTTTTTTTGAGACAGAGTCTCGTGCTGTCGCCCAGGCTAGAGTACAGTGGCTCAATCTCGGCTCACTGCAAGCTCCGCCTCTCGGGTTCCTGCCTCAGCCTCCCAAGTAGCTGGGACTACAGGCGCCCTCCACTATGCCTGGCTAATTTTTTTGTATTTTTACTAGAGACGGGTTTTCTCCGTGTTAGCCAGGATGGTCTCGATCTCCTGACCTCGTGATCCGCCCACCTCGGCCTTTCAAAGTGCTGGGATTACAGGCATGAGCCACCACGCCCGGCCAATTCATTCATTTTTATTGCTGAGTAGTATTTTATTGTGTGAATATACCACATTATTTTTGTTCATTCTACATTGGAAAAAAATTTCTATTGTTTCAAATTTTGGTGATTGTGAATAAAGCCACTATGAACATTCATGAGCAGATTTTTTTTGTAAACTTAACATTTTTATTTCACTTGTGTGAAGTTTCTGATTGTTTTGAACACTAAACTTTACAAGAAACCAATAAACTGTTTTCCAAAGTGGCTATACTATTTAGCATTCATACCAGCAATGTATTTCTAGTTGTTTCATAGCCTTACCAGTACTTATCAGAAATTATTTTGCCGTTCTAATAGGTGAGCAGTGGTACTTCATCATTTTAGTTTTGATTTCCCTAATGATCAATAATATTCAGCATACTTTCATGTACTAATTTGCCAACTGTACATCTTCTTTGGTGAAGTATGACAAGGAGTTTCTCCTTGACCAAACTTTATTCGGGCTTCTCTGCATTATCTTCCTAATTAAGGCTCAACTTTTGGACTTCCATGTCCATCTTTTCATTGCCCAATTTGGGGAAGAATCCTGCTAAATTGATTTAGCCAGAATCCTACATCCTTGATATCAAACGAAATCTTTGTCTCTCATCAGCCCCCCAGGTCTGATTACCCTGGCCTGTCTTTAGCAAAAATATAGCTAGGTCTGTTTAGTCAGAATCGCCCCCTTACCAGTTATGCTTCCCCTTAATAATTTCCATTTATTGATCCCCCTCACCAGTTATGCTTCCCCTTAATAATTTCCATTTACTGATCCCCCTCTCTACTCCCTGTGTATAAATTCCCACTTTTCCTTGTATTCAGAGTTGAGCCCAGTCCCTCTCCCTCTACTGCAAAACACCATTGCAGTAATCCATATACCTATTGCAGTAGTCCTAAATAAAGTCTTTCTTACCATTCTTTAGTGAGTGTCATGAATAACTTTTACTTTAACAAGTACCTGTTCAAAATTATTTTTCATATTACTGATTTTGAAGCATATATTCTGGACATAAGCCTTTCTCAAATTTGTGATTTGCAAATATTTTTTTCTAGTCTTTGATTGATCTTTTTATTGTTGTAATAGTGTCTTTTGAAGAGCAGATATTCCTGATTTTGGCAGCCATTGTTTCCAGTAAGAAGTCAATCACCATTTGTATTGTTTCTCCCTTGTTTCTCTACTTACGCTTCACCTCCCTGTATCGCATCCTGAAAACTACCCCCAGACAGAAACCAGGTTGAAAAATGACTTATCCCATGTGTTTCCCTCTCTTAAGTATCAAAGGTTTTTTTTTTTTTTTTTTTTCAGCTTTGCTCAGTGCCTGGAAACAGCTGTCTCAAAGAATGTGTCCAGTGCTACAGCAACTCATGATAAGAGGATAGGTCTTATCCAGTTACTACCTCATGGATATATGAAATATTCTAGCATGTCTACTCTCATTACTTTTATTTCTCCAATCTATATATAAAACAATCAATAATATGTTTTTGGATACCCACTATGAGTGTGTGTTCATTATTAAAAGATCCATATTCCCTAACTTATCAAGTTTACACTTTCATAGGCTTAAAAAAGAGAAGTACAGAAAGTATTCAAGAGTTTTTACAAGCTGTTGTTACGTCTTAAACATATCAAGATTTCAAGTTATAGGCTGTAAATGCGTGATTTCAGAGCTCATTGCTGCTCTGCATTACTTTCCATTATACCCAATTGAAACTTTCATCCATTTCCAATAATAATTCCAAATTTTATCTTCCTAATATCAGGATGATTAAGAGCATGAGTCTCCTTTATATGAATTCATTAATGAATATGATTTAACACTTTCATGGCTATAGTCACTTGGGAAAATTCAACCCAGATGTGTATATTCAGATCTACATGAAACTGAGCAGTCAAGACCTTTCTTCACTTCATAACTGTCAAAAGAAAGAACATGTTTATTTGCCATTGAAGTCCCGTTTAAAGGAGCTCTGAATTTGTTGATGCTTGTCTTCCTCCTACTTTAGTCTTCAAACAAATGTTTGAGCTTGGAAATAATTAATGAACACCTCTTTTACCTTAGTAACACAGATTTCAAAGGAATTAACACATGTGTTTATGGATTTAATCATTCAAAGAGAGTAGTCAAGAAACGAGTTTGTTCCAGGTCATGTGCTAGACCCAAGAAGGCAGGGAACATACATGCATAAGACTCATTTTCTATCTATTAGAAGTACACAGTTTAGCTTGGGAGAAAGGCACATTAATACATTTTGTGAATGTAGTTTAATTAATAGTGCAACTGTGTATGTGTGCATGTTTGTATGAGAGAGAGAGTTGAAGCTTTGGAGAGGTAGGAACTAGTTATATATATTGGTGGTAAAGACCCATTAATTGGTCCTTTGATTTTTTTAAAAAATGTGTAAGAGAGCCCAACTTAATTAAAGAGAAGCTGTGGGCTGGGTACAAAACCTTGAAAAAATAGCTTTAGGTCAAAATTTTAGACTATAATATTGATTGGGATAGTTGCTCTAAGGTTCTGGAGCCAAAGGCTATAAATCTCTTTTCCAGCTAGATGCAGTGTGAAGTTTAACATGCAGACTCCTCTATCTCATGGCAGTGAATGATTGACAGAAATTCCCTGACCTAGGCCCAGACTTGGCCAAATGCAAACAGGCCAGCAGCATGATACAGATGGTGCTATATACCAAGGAATATGCAATTTGAAGTGAGACTGGTAAAGCAACCTGAGCTACAGTTGGCAGGTTCTTTGTCAAACAAACTTCTCATTAAACCAGAAAAATTTGGGGCAAAAGTGTTAGCCAGGCAGCCAGGCAGCCAGGCAAGATTTGAGGTAGAAACACCAGCAGGTTTTAAATTGCTGCTGGGTCACTACTGATCATGACAGGGGTGCATTATTGATCATGACAGTAAGGGAGGCTTGGGGCCTGATGTGTTGGCAGCAAAGGGAAGGACAGTTATGTCATTGAACAGGACTGATACATTATTGTCAGTGTAAATACCAGTATTTTGTAGCTTATAAGATGATTGTGTCCACAGGGAAAACCTCCAATCCCCACAGCTATGTTACAGCTTTAATGAAAACAGGCATTCCTCTCTAAGAGCCTGCTGTTTCCAGAGAAAAGGAAAATTCTATAAAAAACTTGAACTTGCTTCTCAGAAGAGTGACCCAATGTTAAGACAGGAAGACGATACAAGTTCATAAATTTTCAATAGAGATTGTACCATAAATTTGGGTGCTTAAAGAAAAGCACTTAGTTTCTTAAATTACTACAAAAAGTAATTTATGAAATGAAAATTCTTGCAAACACCAAGTGCACTCAAGAACACTTGAAGTACTTGGCAATCATTCTGAAGCTCTTTATTAAAACTCTAAAGCTCACCAAATCCAGAACTCCCCGATGAAAACACAAAAAGACATTTTGAAGTATTCGTGGAGGTCAGTGGGATTGCTTTAGTCAGTACTTTCCTCTCCTCTCCACTGCATTAATGACTGTACTTAATAAAACTTCATTGCCCCACATATTTGTGTAAATTGTTTGATTTTAGCAAAATATTTCTGCTAAAGATCTTTCACAGAATGCAAAAACTTTTCTAAGCTTCAGTGTCTTTCATATGAAGATACTAAGTGAAAAAATATTAGAAATTTATTCTAATGACACAGTCTTACACATAGATGAATGATTATAAAATAAAAATATTCATTGTAACTTAGTGTAAAAATAATATTTAAAAAGTATATAAATGTACAAAATGGAATGCATTGATTATAGTATAGTGCCTTCATGGACAATAATGTAACCATATACAATCATATTTACAGAGGGCTTTAATGGCATATGGAAGTGCCTGTAATACAATGTGATATTTTAAAATTGGGAAATAATATGATCTTAACAGCATCATCTTAACTTTTGTATAAAGTTCATGCTGAGCCTGGGGTAAACAGGCACTCTCATACATTACCAGTAACAATCCAAATGTTACAATCTCATATGAAGGAGAATTTGGTAAAATATATCAAAGGCACATAGGCATTTATCCTTCAACTTAGAAGTCCAGCTTCTCAGAGTTTACCCTGAAGACACAACTCCAACAATATGAAAATACAAATGACCAAGGTTATTTATTGAAGCATTATTTGTAATCACAAAATATTGAAAACTACCTAGATGTCCAAGCTTAGAGAGAGGTTGAATAAACTATGTTACATACACACAAGTGAGTACTATGTAACTGTAAAACAGAATGAGAAAGATCCCTATTAACTAATATAGAGTGAATTCCAGGAAGGTAATATTCATTTAAAAAGAAAAAAATTAATATTAATTTTTCTTGTGCATAGATCATGGTGCAAGTGGGGGCCTCTCTGTTCCACACACAGTCGGATCTCCAGGCATTCAGAGCATCCACTCACATGGACTAACGAGCTGAGATGCCCCACCCTTCCTGTGCAGAGATCCTGGTGCAAGGATGCCTCTCCACTTCATGGCCAGGCAGATCTCCAGGAACATGGAGCACTGACTCTCCTGGATTAGAAATTTAGGCTACCTCTTCCCCCCATGCAGATAACTTGTAGCTGAGGAAGTTTCCCACCTCCATGCCTAGGCACACCTCTAGGTGCTTGGTGGGTACCCACTGGATTCCTCCAAAGCACTGGTGCTTCTGCCTGCCACTGGGGTACCTGTAGAGGGGCCTGACTGTTCTGGACCTGCCCATCTTGACCCAGTACCTCTGGGGCAGGGCAGGGAGCTCAGCCCACTGTGCACTCCACAAATAAGCCCGTTGCCTGAGGCAACAGAGAGCTTCTTCCAGTAAAGAAGGATCAAGTATGTACCTAGTCATATTGGCTGCAGTAGTATCTTACCCATAAGTGTCATCTACTGGCTTGTGGGTTAAACTGCATAGTCCAATATAAAACCTGCCGAAAGAAGTGCATAGGGCTATAGAAGCAAAGCCAAAAGACCCTAATCAGTACCCTCTAAAGTCACATCCCATAAGGATGGGAGTAAAAGAAAAGGGAAAGAAAAAAAAAAGCAATAATATTATAAGGAAAGAAAGAAAAAAATCCTATCAGCATGAAAATATTTACAAAAATTAGAATTGCCAGGATCTCTAGATGAGAAGGAACCAGTGCAAGAATTCTGTCACCATGAACAATCTGAATGTAGTGACACCAAATGATTATACTAGCTCTCCAGCAGTGGTCACAAACCAGAATGGAAACTCAGAAATGACAGATAGACACTTCAAATCAAGATTACAAGAAAATTCAATGAGATCCAAGACAAGGTTGAATATCAACACAAATAAGCTTCTAAATCAATCCAGGAAATGAAGGAAAAGGTAAACATCTTAAAAAGAAATTAATCAGAGCTTCTGGAGTACAAAAACCTTAAAATACAACTGAAAGCTTTATCAATAGACTGAACTAAGTAGAAGAATGAACTCCAGAGCTTCAAGATTGCTCTTTTAAATTAACCCAGTCATACAAAAATAAAAAAGGATTCTAAAAGATTAAGTCCTTGAGAAATTTGGTATTATGTAAAGTGACCAAACCTACAAATTATTGGCATTCCTGAGAGAGAAAGAAGAAAAGGAAATAACCAGGAAAACATATGTAAGAGACTAATTCAAGAAAATTTCCCTAATTTTGCTAGAGAGGTAGACATCCAGATACATGAACTTCAGAGAACACCTGAAAGACACTCATGAGATGAGTGTCTGACTTCTCATCAGAAAACTTATCAGATGGGAGAGATTAGGGCCTATTTTTAGCATTCTTAAAGAAAGGAAATTCCAACCAATAATTTCATATCCTGCCAAACTCAGCCTCATAATTGCAGGAGAAATAAAATATTTTCCAGACAAGCAAGCACTATGGGAATTTGTTACTACTAGACCAGAATTACAAGAGATTCTTAAGGGAATTCTAAACATCAAAACAACAGAATGATACCTGCTACCATAAAAGATCACTAAAGTACATAGCCCAAAGACCCTATAAAGCAAACACAAAATAGAAACTACAAAGAGACCAGCTTACAACTTCACAATAGGATCACAACCTCACATATCAGTATTAACCTTGAATATAAATGGCCTAAATGCCCCCACATAAATGGCACAGAGTTGCAAGTTGGAAAAAAAACAAGACCCATTCATCTACTGTCTTCAAGAAACTCATGTCACACAAAACAACCATAGGCTCAAAGTATAGAATTGGAGAAAAATATGTTATGCGAATGGAAAACAAAAAAGAGCAGGGGTCATTATTCTTATATTAGATGAAGCAGACTTTAAACAAACAACAGTAAAAAAGGACAAAGAAAGGCATTACATAATGATAAATGTTAAACAAAAAGGCATAACTATCCTAAATATATACACACCCAACACTAGAGCATCTAGATTCATGAAATAACTGTAAGACCTACAAAAAGACTTGGACAGCCACACAATAACAGTGGAGGATTTCAACATCCCACTGAAATCATTAGATGGATCATCAAGGCAGAAAACTAATGAAGAAATTGGAGATTTAGATTTGGCCTTCGAACAATTGGACTTAGTGGACAACTATAGAGCACTCCACCCATCAACCACACAATATATATTATTCTCATCTGCACATGAAACATACTCTAAGATGTACCACATGTTCAACCATAAACCAAGTCTCAATAAATTTAAAAAAATGAAATTATACTAACCATACTTTCAGACCACAATGGATAAAAATAGAAATCAACTCCCAGAAGATCTCTCAATTCCACACAATTACATGGAAATTAAACAACTTACTCCTGAATGACTTTTAGGTAAACAATAAAGTTAATTTTTTATTAATGAAAAATTAATAAAATTTTTTGAAATGAATGAAAACAGAGATACAACACACCAAAATCTTTCACATATAGCAAAATCAGTGTTAAGAGGAAAATGTATTGTGCTAACTACTAATCTCAAAAAGCTAAAAATATCTGAAATTAACTAACATCACACCTAGAGGAACTAAAAAAACAAAAACCAAGAACAAACTAACCCTAAAGCTAGTAGAAGCAAAGCAATAACCAAGAGCAGAACTGAATGAAATTGAGACCCAAAAATCCATATAAAGAATCGACAAAACCAAGTTGGTCCTTTGAAAGGATAAACGAGATCCATAGACTGCTAGCTAGATTAACAAAGAAAAAAAGAAAGATCCAAATGAGCACAATCAGAAAAGAAAAAGGTAATGTTACATCTGATCCCACAGAAATACAAAAGATTCTCACAGACTTTGGACCCAAAGTAGACAATTTAGAGAAAACTAATTAAATATTTAATCCATTTTAATATGTGTACATTGTGAAACAGCTAAATCAAGCTAATTAACGTATCTATTAACTCACATACTTAACATTTTTTATGGTGAGAACACTTAAAATCTACTCTCTTGGCTATTTTCAAGTATACAATACGTTGTTATTAACCACAGTCACCATGTTGTATAATGGATCTCTTGAAGTTATCTCTCATATCTAAGTGAAATTTTATATCCTTTGACTAACATCATCCCAATGCCTCTCTTCCCTAATTGCTGCCAGTTCCTGGTGACCACCATTCTTTGCTTCCATGAGTTTGACTTTTTAGATTCCCCATGTAAGTGACATGCATTGTTTATCTTTCTGTGCCTAGTTATTTTACTTAACATAATGTCCCCCAGGTTCATCGAAGTTGTTACAAATGACAGCATTTCCTCCTTTTTAAACTAAGTATGTTTTTTGCACTTTTATACTTTCCTGTATTTAATACAGTTTATCTAATGAGACAAGCTAAATTTTAAAAATTAATGTACGTTTGTATTTAAAATAAATTTATGTTTGTGTTTGTTACATAGTTCATTCTGTAGATGGTGATAATCTGTGACGTTTCGGATTCTTCTCAGTGAGGTGTGCTGTAATGGAAAAAATGTGACTCAACTAAAAGATTTGCTTTCTTTTCCTGATTATTCTGCTAACTGCCTATATTTAGTGAGTCATTTGACCTCTTTGAGGTGAGTTTCTTTATCTGTAAAATGAAGAGTGTTGATCTACCTTACCTCAAAATTTCCATGTTTCCTTTGATACCAAAATAAACATTATGTGTGACTCTTCTTAATTGGATATCTTAATAATATTGCTAATACATTTTCAAATTTAAAACCCTCTGTACGTTGCATGTATTACATGTTTTTCCTAAAGCCCATAACACAAATACCTGAAGCCTAATAGACAGTCTTTCAAATCCTTGACAAAAAGTGTAACTTGTAATCACATTTAGATTTTGCTGTATTAAAAGTTCTCCTGAATTTGCTTATTGAAGGAAAAAGCCTTTTTTAGTAATTTATCTGAATGTTGAAAATATTGCAAGCTTGCGTTAAAGACAATAGTAACTTTCACATGCATATTCACATTAACAACCTCTTTTTTCCCAGTGAAAGCATCATTGGCTATAAAAGTTACATATCTGCTTTTTCTTTACTGAGTGAAATTGGCTTTTGACTCCTCTGATTACATGATAACTAAATCGGACATCTGGTTCTAAGTGATATGTTTTCTTTGCTTTTTCATTTGTTTATTGTTGTTTGCATTACTGAAAAATGCATTAAAACTGAATGCTGATGAAAAAAGCAGAATTCTGTCAGACGGAGAGAACAAGCTTTCTCACTGTAGATACCATTTTAACTTTGAATCTTTCAAGTGTAGGTTTTTCTATTTGTCTATAGTTCTTTCCCCAAGACATGTTTTTCTTCTTCAAGTCAGATAACACTTTTCAGGAGATAGGAAATGATGAGGGGATGCGTACTTTTTCTTCTCTTCATCACTTACCTTAGGTGGCTACAGTAATGCCACAAAATAATAGGGGTAAGTTCTAAATTGAATCTAGCAGCATTTTATGTTATATTAAGCAGGATTTTAGTTGGACCTTTGGTGATTTCATAGAGAACTAAGTGAGTTTAGAGAGTTCTAGATATTGGTTGTATAAAAGTCTCTCTCTGTATATATAAAATAAGCCTTTTAGCCAGAATTCTGAAATGCAAATAAAATGTAGACTTTAAAATACACACACACACACACACACACACACGCACACACACACAACCCAATTATTTAAGGAACCAGGAAAGATATAGTTCTGTATTTTATTATGTTATATTTTCACAATACTCATATATAAGACTCTGGAATCTCATTTAAATAACAGGAAGTGAATAAGCCTGACATCTAGTAACAATACATTTTGGGAAATGTACACCCAACTGTGATCTTTGCCTTCAACAATTTACAAATGACTTTAATAAGCCTGAGAGTGCTGTTCTCTAATGGCAGTGTGTAAAGATATTGTTCGGAGTAAGAAAACGGAAGCAGCTGGTACTATTGTGCGTGATTCAGATCACAAAAAAAAAAAGCGTATATCCTGTTTCCACCGTGTCCAGAAAATCTCTCTTAAACCTCAAAAAATTAGGAATCAAATTATTTTGAAGGCTTTTGTGTATCCTGTATTGTAATGAAATATAATACTTAGGACTCTGAAATTTATTTCACTTCTGGAGAGTCCTGCAATTTGAGAAAATAGTGAGAAAGCGCTATTGAGAAAAACAAAACAACATAGCAATGATTTAAGCTATAAATAGTCATGGTTTTCTTACCTTTTAGTGAAACACAGATGTCACATTTGGAGCAAGACTTCTGTGGTAATGTGTTTGAAAATAAACACCAACAGTTTTCATTGAATCTAATTTACCTGCTATTGATTAGTAATGCTTAGCATTTTGAGAGCTTGGAAGAAAACGTGGGAGGAGGCAATCATCCCATCACTGTTACTTCACAGACAGCAAGGAAAATTACTTGAATTAAAGTCTATGCCCAAGTTCACATTCTCAAGCCTCCTAATAGATTTCTTACTGATGCCCTTCAATTCAGCTAAGGGAGCAAAATGATGTTTGTTAAGCATTGACTCTTAAAAGCCAGAAAATCCAAAGGAGATGCTGACAGCTGGTGATTTACTGAAGGAAGGTGAAGAAAGAAAAAAAATGGGTTGATATTTTAGCTTAGGTTCCTGACAGAGTCCAATATGTAGCTGCAGCTTGACTGTCTATACTCTGAATTAAAACAGGATAAAGCTGCTGGCTAATTATTCATAGGTCAGAAACTTGGCAGAGAGGTTAAAGAAACAAAAGTAGGTAGTGGGAACAAAGACTCTTTGAGGAAGATCTCATAAAATGGAGTTACTCTATCCTAACCGCACATTTAGAATAACCTGGAGCATTGTTAATAATGCATAGACCTCAATACAGACAAACAAAATTCATATAACCAAGGACGGTCATGGGCAGCCATGGTTGAGAACCACTGATTTAAATGACCATCACTATTTTTCTAGCATGTACCTATAATGGGGAAATTTTAGATTGAAAATATTTAATTAGTTTAAAAATATTTTTGTTTACCAAAGAGGAATTGTGCAGTTTGAGGGTATTTATTTAATAAACCATAATATGAGAAAACATATTTTAAATAACATAATCTTGGCTCACACATGATAGAAACTCAACGAAAGTTAGTCTCTGTTTTTTTTAGTACATCCGTGTATTTGTATACTCATGTAGGCACAAACACACATACATATATGGTAGTTACATGACATTAAATAAGTGTGATTTTTTTTCATAGAAATGGAGAATTAACCTCACACAGAATTAACCTCACTTATTATCATTATTTGAATGGCAACAAATTGTTTTCCCACAACAACAAAAAAATTTTGTTTGAGTTTTAGCATTACTTTCTAAGGTGTTATTACTTGTGTCTATAAAAGGAGTAAGACATCTGTACCACTAAAAATGATTTGGTTGCAAGTAACAGAAAATTTTAACAAAGATAACACTTATTGGCTCAATTTTCTGAAAATTCCAAATATGTTTGTGTTGCAGGTTGGTTTACACGTAGATGGCTTCAAGTTAGAATTGGTTCAGCAAAGTAAAAGTGTCACCAAAACTAACTTTTTATTTTGATAGAGTAACTGTTTTTTGCCTTCATAGAGTTGACCTATTCCTGAGGCTTGTTCCCCTAACTCTTTTAAGATGGCTGCTAACACAACCTGTGACACAGGCTGCCTAGTTTTCCTTCAGTGAGCAAGTGAGAGCATCTCTTCTTCCAACCATAAAACAGTGCTAAGCAACATTTTAATTAATTTATTTATTTTGAGACGGAGTCTCACTCTGTCACCCAGACTGGAGTGCAGTGGCACCATCTCGACTCACTGCAACCTTGGCCTCCTGGGTTCAAGCGATTCTCCTGCCTCAGCTTCCCGAGTAGCTGGGACTACAGGTGTGTGCCACCACGCCCGGCTAACTTTTTGTATTTTTGGTAGAGACGGGGTTTCACCGTGTTGGCCAGGATGGTCTCGATCTCCTGACCTCGTGATCTGCCCTCCTCGGCCTCCCAAAGTGCTAGGATCACAGGCGTGAGCCACCGTGCCCAGGCCAACTAATTCACATCACATGCTCATTCTTAACCACACATTGGCCTAAGGGGAATGGAATTATGTTGACTGGTTTGGGTAGATCCAAATCTGGAGCAAAGAGGTAGGATAACATGGTTGCCTTGTATACGTGTGTGTGTATGTGTGATGTGCTTGTGTGTGTGTGTGTGTGTGTGTGTGTGTGTGTGTGTGTGTGTATGATGGTAAGTGGGTAGATTCCAGGGAAAGCAACCATCAATGTCTACTACCTGATCAAAATAACATGTTTTAAACAACTAGATCAACTAAGAGTTAATAAATTAGAATTAATGAACATGTCTGAATATTTTTATTATCCACCATAGAAAATTATGTATGGTTAAATTATAAGTTGAGGTTCAGATGCAACAAACATTTTCCCTTTTGGATTCATGGAGGGCATAAAGTATCCTGCACGACACTATTTTATATATATTTATAAATTCATATCATCTATTATTTTGAATAATTTGAAAACAGTTTTGCCACTGTAACACTCCTTGTTATATTCAAATATTTCACTGGAGATAATACATATAGTTCAGAGGGTCTTAAGTGTTCTCACAGCAAAATAACCTCAGTGTTTCAGTAAAATTTTATGTGGGGCCCCCAGACCAAAATTCATATGTTATAGTTTTGTTTATTGAGTTATGCCCTGACAACTTAATAGGCATTTTTCACTGATAATTTAGTAGTCACTTGGGGAAAAAATGTAATACACATAGATTAAAAGAAAAATAGAACTTTTATTTCATTTTTAACTAGCCACAAGATGCATGTACCTGTTGAGCACTGTACACACTCTCAAACCTTGGAATCAGTTTGTAGATGATCGCCCTCATTTCTTGTACTATATTATTTTTGTGCAGTACTTTCTTTTTATCCTGGAAATTGCTAAAACCCCGTTTCACAAAGATACAATGTTACCAAAAAGGAATTTCACGTGATCTAATGGTGAAACTGGGAACTACCTTTCCTAGTAGTTTATACTGTGTCTGATGGATATTAGTAGATTCCTTTTGAATTTGTTTTTTAGTTTTCATATATTTAGAAAGTACAAGTGCCATTTTGCTACATGTATAAATTGTATAGTAGCAAAGTCTGGGCTTTTACTGTAGTTATCACCTGGAGAGTAAACATTTTACCCACTAAGTAATTTTTCACCCCACACACCGCCACCCCCAACTTCTCACCCTCCCAAATCTCCATTGCCTATCATTCCAGTCTCTATGTCCATGTACACACATTATTTGGTTTCCACTTATGAGTGAGAACGTGCCGTATTTGACTTTCTGAGTTACATCACATCAGATAATGTCCTCCGGTTCCATCCATGTTGCTGCAAAAGACATGATTTCATTATTTTTTTTTATGGATCAATAGTATTTATTTGTGTATACATACCACATTTTCTTTATCCAATTATCCATCAGTGGGCACTTAGGTTGATTTCATATTTCTGATATTGTGAATAGTGCTGTAATAAACATACGGGTTCAGGAATATTTTTGATATAATGATTTTTTTTTCCTTTGAGTACATACTCAGTAGTGGGACTGCTGAATAGAATGGTAGATCTATTTTTAGTTCTTTGGGAAATCTCCATACTGTTTTCCATAGAGGTTATACTAATTGCATTCCCACTAACAGTGTATATAAGTGCTCTGATTTCTGCACATCCTCACCAACATCTGTTATTTTTGCCTTTTAATAGCCATTCTGACTGGTGTAAGATGGAGTCTCATTGTGGTTTGGATTTGCATTTTTCTGATGAAGAGTGATGTTGAGCATTTTTTTTTTCATATGCTTCTTGGCCATTTGTATGTCTTCTTTTGCAAAACGCTTGTTCATGTCCTTTGTTTGCTTTTTAATGGGGTTATTTGCAGGTATTTTGTTGAGTTGTTTGAGTACCTTTTAGAGTCTGGATATTAGTCCCTTGTTGGATGCATAATTTACAAATATTTTCTCCAATTGTGCAGACTGTCTGTTCACACTATTGATTATTTCTTTTATTGTGCCCATGACCAACACCACGCTGAATGGGGATATCTGAAAGCATTCCCCCAAGATTTGGAACAGGTCAAGGATGCAGACTCTCACCACTCCCATTCAACATAGTACTAGACGTGTTAGCCAGAGTAATCAGGCAAGAGGAAGAAAGAAAAGGCATCCAAATGAGAAAAGAGGAAGTCAAATTATCTCTCTTTGCTGACAATATGATCTTATACCTAGAAATCCCTAAATACTCCTCCAAAAAACTCCTAGATTTAATAAATGAATTCAATAAAGTCTCAGCATACAAAATCAACATACAAAAATCAATAGCATTTCTATACACCAGTAATGATCAAGCAAAGAACCAAATCAAGAAGTCAATCTGTTTCGAAATTTTAAAACAGCTCTTAGTATCACAAAGTGCCTTGATACACAGTTTAGGAACTGTAGTTATAGTTGTAAGAAGACACAAAGCAAGAGTCAGAATTGGAAAGGCAGGCTTCCAATTACAAAATATCAAAAGATGACAACTAGTATTAAAAAAAAGGGAATCATCATGTACGTTTTTCAAGTATCTTCTTAAAAAGTTACATATTTGATTTGTATAAAAACATTTTTTACTTTTACACATTTTTTCCAAAACGCATTAATGTAAAAAGTGTATCATATTCTATAAACTGATCTTTGGAGTTTTTAAAACCATCTATTACTTCTATAAGTATTTCCTACTAAAGATTACTGTGGAATTACAAAATCATTCTAATGAAAAATGGGAAGAGGACAGTTCAGGAAGAGATACAACCTGACATTTTTATAGATTGCAAATTTCACTACATTTCTACCTAAAAATGGTACCAGTACCAAATGGCAGTAATTCCTGGGACCACTGAATATTCCGAGCTAACTCATTTGCCTTATTGACTTATTTCACATTTGTGACTAGGGAAACAATACATCATTGTAATTTTTCCCTTCTGAATTTCCTCTTACAATGGCTGATTGTTAAAGAATTAGGACAGATAAGTGCTACTTTTACTCTTCTAAATAATGACCAAAAAAAGCCCATAGGCTAATGTATCACAATAAGATATTAGAAGGAGAAAAATCGATTGTCAGTAAGACACTTTGTAATAAATCTTACAACAGTGACCTTGCTTGGCTGCTATATACTGTATAAAGAAGAGAAGCCAATCAAAACTGCATGAATGATTAATGCATTTCATACAAAGCTCGATGATATCCTTAGAATATATTTGCTAAGGTGCTGCAGTCATAAGAAGTCAAACAAATGTGAGAGCTCAAGTAAGGAGTTTCAGAAGGAGTTCTTAAGAGAGACACATGCAGCTAATTTCTTAGTTTCTGTTGACTGTACAAATGGAAGTACTGATATCAGAATACATGTTGTAAGGAAAAAAAGACATTCAGATTGCCGTTTGAAGTTATGAAAACTAGGGGACTACATAGTAGATTTGATTACTGAGAAGTCTTATAAGAGGATTCTGCATTTTGTTCTGTTGACATTAGGTTTAATAACATGATTTTCCTTGGTCAAACAATGCGTGCCATTTTGCAGCACAAATTTTAAGAGTGAATGTGTGGTTCACCATATCTTTTTTTTTCTTCCTGCCTCAATGTATAGCAGAGTTGCAGCTGCTAGGTATGTAGAATGACTGAGCCTCTGAGATATTTAGGTTGTTTGTCACTGCAGCATAGCATAACCCATCCTGACTTATGCAAGTTATTGGGCATTAATATTAGTAGAAACTGAATTTGGGGAAACTGAGGAAGAAGGAAAAGAAGCAATGGCTTTCAAAATGGGCATATCAAGGTTTTTTGAGCAGGTAAAAGAATCAGGCTGTAGAAATGGAGAAAGAAGAAAATAAAGCTTTGGCAATAGCTCCACTGTTGGAATCCACACCTTGAGACTATAGTGAATGATCACAGCTCTCAAGATTATCCTGGAACAGTCACTGCCATATGTTTTCTCTGAGCTCAAAGGGTTTCAGCTACTTTCTTATGGTCTCACAACTAGTAAGTCCAGACTCGAAACACATTGCTTTCAATTCTATTACACTGTCATCTAAACACAGAACATGAGCACCTGACTAAGTGTGGCAACTGCTCAGAGCTCCATTGGAAATTGGAGAGAGAACCTGATAGGGGGAGTGCAGTTAGCTAACAGCCTCCAGCTGCAGTGCCTTTAGGATTTGGGATTCAGTGTAGGCATTTGAGCCAAGGATACACTCTCCCCAGGAAGTCCCCAGCCAATGACTGAGCATGGAAAAGGAATTTGGGTCTGGCCATTTCTGCCCAATGCACTGTCTCCTATGGGCAATCTTTACGCTAGAGCTCTCCATTCTATTGCCAAGACCTTCTCAGAGCTGCACTGTGCTCTGAGGCTCTTCCTATCCCCTCCTCCTACTTTCCCCCTTCTCCATTCACAGGAGGGGGTCAGAACAACATTATTGTCAGAAGATTTTTCTGACCTACTCTTGGCCCCTTCCCCCTTATCTTACATAGGTGTCATCTGTTAAAAAAAAGTATTCTGACATTTGTAAAAAGGTAAGGATGACTTCATTTGGGAACACTATTGCAATAGATGTTAACACTACCATAATAGGGGAGAGAGATTAAGCTCAACTCCTAATACAGTAGATAACTGGGGATTTATAGCCAATGAGCAGAATGAGGGGCATCAGAGGATGGAAAGTTAGGAAGAGGAAACATCAAGGGTAGGGTCATTTTTGCTAAACCAACTTAACAGGATTCTTGCTGAAGTCAGGCCAGGATAATCTGATATCAAGGCATTCTTACTACACTGCCTCAGCAGGATTCTTGCTAAACCTGGGCTAGGCAGTCCAAAGACAGGGCCTAGTTGAAAAGAGGGCTCAGAGAAGGCTGTCTAAAGTTTGGCCAAGGAAGCAGTCTTTGTCACGCCCCAATAAATCTCTTATACTCCTTATTCCATCTTGGCATCTACTTTGTGAGCCCTTGAACTGACACACTTAGGTGAACTGGAAAATTTGATTAACACTATGTAGAGTGGCAAAATATGTACACCTTTATGCCAATATTATTATGGCTTGAAGAATAACGTTTCTCCTGCTTAAAAAAATAAAAATGGTTAGAGATTTGAGTTCTGGTAAAATGCTGCCATCTATGGGCGATTTCTCTTTTGTTAAGCACTGAAGGTAGGAATTCATACAGATTGTCTTATTTAATGCTCATACAACATTGCAAGTTAGATTATATGATTATTTTTATTTTATACATAAGGAAACTAAAGCTGAAGTGAAATTAATTGTATAAGATGATCCTTATAATAAATAGCAGAGACAAAATTCAGGGCCAGATCTGTCATAATTATTTATTTATTTATTTATTCATTTATTTATTTATTTTTATTTTATTTTTTTTGAGACAGAGTCTCACTCAGCCACCCAGGCTGAAGTGAAGTGGCACAATCTTGGCTCACTGCAACCCCCGCCTCCCGGGTTCAAGCGATTCTCCTACCTCAGACTCCTGAGTAGCTGGGATTACAGGCGCGCGCCACCATGCCCGGCTAATTTTTGTATTTTTAGTAGATGGGATTTCAACATGTTGGTGAGGCTGGTCTCAAACTCCTGATCTCGTGATCCCTCTGTCTCGGCCTTCTGAAGTGCTGGGATTATAGGTATAAGCCACCGTGCCCAGCCAGATCTGTCATGTTCTAAACTGTCACTATTTACTCAGGGTCAAACTGCTAGCTGATAAACTACTGTTATGCAGTTTTGCTGTGTGTTGGGAAAGAGGTGTAATATTTGGAGTTTGATTTGTTGTAGGAAAAAGTTGAAGGACATAAGAGATTTTGTATTAAATTGTGAATATAACATTTTATGCACACTTTTCCCATGGTTATGCCAAGCGCCTGGGGTGTAAAACCTGTTAGGCTCAAATGGATGGTTTCAATTTGTGTGTACATCTCTTTGGATGAGGAGTTCTATGGCTAACAGAAATCTGAGAACTGTAGAATACAGTAGAAAACAGAAAAAAATAAATGGTTCTAAATTCAACTTATATTCATAATATTAATTTTATCTCTTCTGAAAAAATAAGAATCTGAGAAAGTTTGGTCATGGACCCAGATTGTGACTCTCAGCTCTCTAGACTACTTCAGTAACTGCTTACACCAAATACCATTCCTACTTATGTACCTTCTCCTTTGTAGTACCTGTTTTAGCCAGCAGTGAACACTGGAGAAAGCTGGTGATTTATTGTGTAATGGAAATTAAATAAGGAAGCAGCAAGTTAAGAGATAATGTCAATAGTCTAAATGGTATTGTTTAGTTTTTGTTTTTCTCTGAACTCTGACTCTGAACCCATTGATTCTTCATGTGACTTATCCCAGTTATGCTGCCTTAGCCTGAGTCATGAATGGATTGATTCTTTATCTTACAAAATGAATATTGAGCTCTGTAGTAGATATTATCATTACTGTGCCAGATCCCTCAGATTCCTTTTTACTATGCACATGTGCACCTAAGCTCCCCTTTGGTGTGCTTTTGCATCTAACAGTCAGCAACTTTGCATCTTTTTCACAACACTGCCCTTGGGCTACTGATGGCTCTTTTGCAGTGCTTGCATGTACACACACACACACACTACACATACACTACACATACACATACACATACACATACACATACACATAGCTAGAAATGCCTAGGGATTTACATCCTCTGTTTGATGGGCAGGACATAAAAACCCAGCTTTCTTTTCTTGGGACAAGATATCTCAGACTTAGCTTTCACTCCAGGGTTACCCTATAGGATCAGACTGAAGTTTTATCATCTGTAGGAATTGCCCTGAGATCAAATCTTTGTTAGACTTCCACCCCTTGCCTATCCTGTTGCCCCCGGCTCCCTTACCAGTTTCCCCTGGGTCAAGAGCACTTTCTTAATAAATCACTTGCACAGGAATCCTCATCTCAGAAACATTATCTGTTTCTAACCTAAGAAAAGCACCTACTAAACCTAAGGCAGTATGCAAAGCGATAAATATGACTGTTGCCTTCAAGAGGTAATTGAGTAATCACAATAATGTGTGCTATAACACAGCTGATATATATTATGAAATGATATTACTGAGAAGTAATATCATTTCATTACTGAGAAGGAAGTGATTATCATTAGCAATTCTATTTACACAAATTAACATTTAAGCACATTCTTTAAGGGTGAATGGATGGGTAGGTATTACTAGGATGAAAAGAAACGAAGGGTGTTTGGAGCAAAAGAAACAGACTCTACTTTGATAATAGTTTCCCTGGAAACGGGTTTTGTAGATTTCATTTTATTTTGAAGCCAGTGTTTAACAGAGACCTGTGGTAGATGAGCTCCACTATGAACTCTGAGAAGGCAGGGCTCTTTCTGATTTATACTGGTTATATCACTAGTGCGTAATACATGGTTTAACACGGATGGTCTTTAAAATATTTTTGGACAAGTGAACCCAGAAACAAACACATTCTAACTTTCCTATTTTCTGTTATGTTCCCCAAGTTTAGCAAGTTTAAATTATATAGAGAATCTGCATATAATAAGAAAACACTCAATAGTCTAAGATTTTTTTTTCTTTTTTAATGTACTAATTCATAAAGGTAACGTTTAATCAACTCGCTTAATATTTTTAAGTCCCTACTGCATTGCAGGCACTTTGCTGTTTTGTGATTATAAATCCTAGTCATTCGGAACTTAAGATTTATAATTTGGGCAGTAGTACACATTCAGCAGCTAATTGTGTGACTTTGAGCAAGTAATCTATCTCCATGAAAAGAATAACAGTGCCTATCTTATAGGGTTCTGTGAAAAGTATATGAAGAAATGCATGAACAATTCAAACCATAGTGCCTGGCATATAGTAAGTGCTCAGTAAGTGTTAGTTGTTACTCATGTTAGTGTTATGATTGTGACTTTTTTTCCGTTATTCTCTCCTGCACCAGACTTATATAGGTTCTGTGACTTTCTTTGCTGTAGAGTCAGACTTTTATTGTGTTCCATTCTTTTGAAAGAATAAGAAAGATAAATGAGTATAGCATACTATTTACAAAAACCCTGACATCCCCATCAGCTACAGAATGCTTAGGTTCCTCATTCGTCTCCAAAAAAATGATTAACTCTACATCTTGGCAGGACAAATTCATATGTAATCAGTTGGCTTCCATCTAATGAATGACCATGTAGATTTTCAATGTAACCAAAGGAAATGTTGCCTGCAATTTTCCAAAGGAACTGTTCCCTAGCAAACAAGGAAAAACAAAATGCCTTCGAGATAGGAAAAAACAACGTTAAAGGTATTCAGTCAAACACTTAATAAATATTCAGATGTTACATAAGCCATTGTAAATCACTTAAGAAAGATTAGATGTTTTCAAATTTAAAGTTAGAACATATGAATTTTGCACATTTGATTCTGTTCTGTAATTCTAAAAAATTATTTCTCAGCTTATTTTATTTGAAATAGGATATTAGTTATGATTTTCCCATTGGTGATTTTTAAAGAACTATAATGTCCCACTTAATATGTTTCAAATATTTTCATATTAAAATGCCTAATTTGATAATAAATGGAAAGTAGAGCCTCATAATATTTATCTAAGACTTTAGTATTAAATACATAAGCAGTATTTATTTTATTTTATTTAGGATAACTGATATTTCAGTCACTTGCCAATAACTTCAGTATGATTTTCTGCACATAATAATTGGAGGCGGACACTGGGAATTTTCAAAAGATAATTTGACTATCGAGTTCTGTGAGGTCTGTCATTTCTCATTGCTTGGTTAAGTGAAACCTGCTTAAAGACTTGACCATGAAATATCATATGCTTCTTGACACCTATACTTCAGATAGAATAAAGGCATCAAAAATGGTTATTAAACATGAGGCTTTAATTTTGTCTCAAGTCATTCCTTTGTATTTAAAGTTTTAATTATAATATTAAAAATCAGGTTTGATATTTTACACTAATTTTATTCATTTAACTTATTTCAAAATGAAAATGATATACAATGCATACAACTTTTATTTAGCACCTCACTGTGATCTAGGAAATGGTACTTGTTCTTTAGTATAAGCTCGAAAAATGGCTCTTGTCAGTTTCCAATACTGTTCACACACTACTTTGAAAATTTTCTTTAAAAATCTTCAAATCAATATTTTTTCATTTGGTTCCAGCCAAAATAGCTTTTACCTGCTATTGTGAAAATTACTTCATTTGGCAAGTAGAATGACTAAATCTGGATCATGAATATCAGAAGTTCATGAATTTCCAATTTATGATGAAAGGCTCTAAAATATTCTTTGTGCATTGAGAAAGCTTCTTAATTCAAAATAATATTTTTAACAAAACTAAAATATCACCAAAATTACTCTAGGAATATCTGGGAAAGTGTTATGTGAAAGTATAATGCAATGTTTAGGTAGTTCATTAAATTTTGTCTTCAAGAGCCATCAATTTTTATCACTCATCTGAATAACTTATAATATCAAGCAATCTGATCAACAGCTATTTATTGGATTCAAAATTCTTCTAAGCATTGTACATAGTTCAAAATAAACAGAAGACATTGATTTTGCTTTTAAGAAGCTTAGTTCTTATTTGGGGATATACACTGAATAAAAATAATTTTATCAGAGAACAGTTAAATATAAATCTGTATGGCACAACTCTAAGTTTATTACTTTGTAAAAGAGGAAAATCATTAAAGGTTGACATTTAAGGAAAAGTTTCCAGGAGAATCGTCGCTCACACTTGGATTTGAAGAATGTCTAGGATGTGAGCACAGAGGAACAGACTATCACTGAACTGCTTCGATTTGCATCTGAAAGAAAATACCTGCCGGCACAGTGGCTCACGCCTGTAATCCCAGCACTTTGGGAGGCCAAGGCTGGCGGATCACCTGAGGTCGGGATTTCGAGACCAGCCTGACCAACATGGAGAAACCTCATCTCTACTAAAAATACAAAAAATTAGGCGGGCTTGGTGGCACATGCCTGTAATCCCAGCTACTCGGGAGGCTGAGGCAGGAGAATCTCTTGAACCTGGGAGGCGGAGGTTGTGGTGACCCGAGATCGCACCATTGCACTCCAGCCTGGGCGACAAGAGCAAAACTCCATCTCAAAAAAAAAGGGAGAAGAAAATACCTTTTTTTCATTTTTAGAGGAAATATTATATTAATTTTTAATGAGCAATACAAATATTAATAAAAGTATGTATCTTATAAAATTTGTTGTAGGCATAGACTTTAAATAGTATTAAAAATAGACAATTTGTAAGTTGTGTCTTTTTTAATATCTTCAGACTATATTTTAGTAGTTAAATATTCAGTTGTGGAGTCAGACAGCTCTTGATGCAAATTCTGGTTCTGCAATTTAGCAAATATGTGATTTGAAGCAAATTAGAAGTATCAGTTTCCTTATCTATAAAACAGGGATAACGAATGGACACAATTCCATGGATTTCTGAGTCAAATCTTAGAAAAACTTAGGCATATACCCTGTCCATAGAACCATAATAAATATTCAATATATGTTAATTATTATCATTAACTATCATGTTTTATTTTTGTGTATTCTGCTTTATTTCACAAAGGATTTGGAATGGCAACAATAATATATAAAATAAAATAATAATATATACATTGAATGATTCCTTTAAGTCAGAGAATTATATTTTTATTCCTCAAAATTGGTGCTTACAATCTCATGAGCCCACCTCTTCTGCAATAGTCTCTGGGCCTAGAGGAATTGAATAGGTTTTTTTTTTTTTTCAGACATAACTTATGTTTAATACTTATACTCTGTCTTTCTAAAAATCTCCTAAAAAATTGCAGCAAAGGAGGCAAACATCTCTACTTTATGATAAAATTTCAATGCGCCTGGCAGATTGAAATAATTTACTTATAAACTGCCAACATTTTTATCTCAATGAAAGTAGATCTAAATTAAAAATAATTTATATGCTTAAAATACATCTGAATCATTATCCATGGATTGAAAACAGGTATATTTTAAAAGACAAACTAAATTGAGTAAGATAGCTTTGAAGTTTCTGCAATACAATTGGAGCACATATGAGTACAAAGCATTTTGCAGAGTTTTTTTTTTATTTCAACTTTTATTTTAGATATGGGGGTAAATGCACAGATTTGTTACATGAAAATATTGCATAATGCTGAGGTTTGGAGTATAAATCCCATCACTCTGGCATTAGGCATAGCTTTTCAATCCACCACACACCTTCCATCCTCTAGTAGTCCACAGTATCTATTGTTTCCATATTTATGTCCATGTTACTCATCGTAACAACACTTAACTCAATGCTTAACTCCCATTTATAAGTGAAAACATGTGGTATTTGGCTTTCTGTTCCTATGTTAATTTGTTTAGGATTATGGCCTCCAACTACATACATGTTGCTGCAAAGATCTCAAGGAGAAATAAAAAAACACTGCTGTAAGAAATCAGAAATGACACAAGAAATGGAGAAACATTTCGTGCTCATGGATAGGAAGAATCAATATTGTTAAAATGGCCATATTTCCCAAAGCAATTTATAGATTCAATGCTATTTCTATCAAATAACCAATGCCATTTTTCTCAGAAGTAGAAAAAAAGATTCTAAAATTCAAATGGAAGCAGAAAAGAGCCTGAATAGCCAAAGCAATCCCAAGCAAAAAGAACAAAGCTGGTGGCATCACACTACTTGACTTCTAACTATAATATAAAGCCACAGTAACCAAAACAGCTTGGTACTGGTATGCAAAACCACATAGACCAATGGAACAGAATAGAAAACTCAGAAATAAAGCCATACACCTACAACCATCTGATCTGACAAGCCTGACAAAACAAGCGATGGGTGAAGGACTCCCTATTCAATAAATGGTCCTGGGATAACTGGCTAGCCATATGCAGAAGATTGAAGCTGGGACCCCTACATTTCACTATATAAAAAAATTAACTCAAAATGCATTGAATATTTAATAGTTTGTGAGACTTCAAACTGTAAAATTCCTGGAAGACAGCCTAGGAAATAATCTTCTCAACATTGGCCACGATCCATATAAGATGTGACTTGCTCCTCCTTCCCTTACACAACCATTGTGAGGCATCCCCAGCCACGTGGAACTGTAAGTCCAATTAAACCTCTTTCTTTTGTAAATTGTCCAATCTTAGGTATGTCTTTATCAGCAGCATGAAGACAGACTAATACAGTAAATTGGTAACAGTAGAGTGGGGCATTCTGAAAAGTTACCTGAAAGTGTGGAAGTGACTTTGGAACTGGGTAACAGGCAGAGTTTGAAACAATTTGGAGGGCTCAGAAGACAGGAAAATGTGGGAAAGTTTGGAACTTCCTAAAGACTTGTTGAATGGCTTTGACAAAAATGCTGATAGTGATATGAACAATAAGGTCCAGGCTGAGGTGGTCTCAGGTGGAGATGAGGAGCTTGTTTGGAACTGGAGCAAAGGTAACTTGTTATGTTTTAGCAAAAAGATGGGCAGCATTTTGCCCCTGCCCTAGAGATTTGTGGAACTTTGAACTTGAGAGAGATAATTTAGGGTATCTGGTGGAAAAAATTTCTAAGGAGCAAAGGATTCAAGAGGTGACTTGGATGCTGTTAAAGACATTCAGTTTTATAAGGGAAGCAGAGCATAAAAATTCAGAAAATTTGCAGCCTGACAATGTGATAGAAAAGAAAATCCCATTTTCTGAGGATAAATTCAAGCCAGCTGCAGAAATTTGCATAAGCAATGAGGAGCCCAATGTCATTCCTCAAGACCATGGGGGAAATATCTCCAGGGCATGGCTGAGTTCTTCACGGCAGCCCCTCGCATCACAGGCCAGGAGGCATAGGAGGAAAACATGGTTTTCTGCACCAGGTCCTAGGTCCCTGTGCTGTGTGCAGCCTAGGGACTTGGTGCCCTGCATCCCAGCCACTCCAGCCATGGCTGAAAGGAGCCAATGTAGAGCTTGAGCCATGGCTTCAGAGGGTAGAAGCCTCAAGCCATGGTAGCTTCCATGTGGTGTAGAGCCTGTGAGTGCACAGAAGTCAGGAATGGAGGTTTGGGAACCTGTGCCTAGATTTCAAAAGATGTATGTGTATGGAACCACCTGGATGCCCATGCAGAAGTTTGCTGTAGGGGTGAGGTCCTCATGGAGAACCTCTGCTAGGGCAGTGCAGAAGGGAAATGTGGGGTGGGAGTCCCCACACAGAGTCCCTACTGGGGCACCACCTAGTGGAGCTGTGAGAACAGGGCCACCATCCTCCAGACCCCAGAATGGTACGTCCACTGACAGTTTGCACTGTGTGCCTGGAAAAGCCACAGACACTCAATGCCAGCCCGTGAAGGTAGCTGGGAGGGAAGCTGTACCCTGCAAAACCACAGGGGCAAAGCTGCTCAAGACTATGGGAACCCACCTCTTGAATCAGTGTGACCTGGATGTGCAACATGGAGTCAAAGGAGAGCATCTTGGAGCTTTAAGACTTGACCGCCCTGCTGGGTTTCAGACTTGCATTGGGCCTGTAGCCCCTTTGTTTTGGCCAATTTTTCCCATTTGGAATGGCTGTATTTACCCAATGCCTGTACTCCCATTGTATCTTGGAAGTAACTAACTTGCTTTTGATTTTACAGGCTCATAGGTGGAAGGGGCTTCCATTGTCTCAGATGAGACTTTGGACTGTGGACTTTTGAGTTAATGCTTGAAATGAGTTAAGACTTTGGGGGACTGTTGGGAAGGCATGATTGGTTTTCAAATGTGAGGACATTTTCACTCATGTCCGTGTGAAGAGACCACCAAACAAGCTTTGTGTGAGCAACAAGGCTGTTTATTTCACCTGGGTGCAGGCGGGTTGAGTCCGAAAAGAGAGTCAGCGAAGGGTGATGGGGTGGAGCCGTTTTATAAGATTTGGGTAGGTAAAGGAAAATCACAGCCAAAGGGGGGTTGTTCTCTGGCAGGCAGGAGTGGGGGTCACGAGGTGCTCAGTGGGGGAGCTTTTTGAGCCAAGATGAGCCAGGAAAAGGAATTTCACAAGGTAATGTCATCAGTTAAGGCAAGGACTGGCCATTTTCACTTTTGTGGTGGAATGTCATCAGTTAAGGCAGGAACAGGCCATTTTCACTTCTTTTGTGATTCTTCAGTTACTTCAGGCCATCCGGGCGTATATATGCAGGTCACAGGAGATGCGATGGCTTAGCTTGGGCTCAGAGGCCTGACAGATGTGAGATTTTGAAGGGGCCAGGGGCGGAATGATTTTGTTTGGCTCTGTGTCACCACCCAATTCTCATCTTGTAGCTCCCATAATTCCCACATGTTATGGGAGGGACCCAGTGGGAGATGACTGAATTATGGGGGCAGGTCTATTCTGTGCTGTTCTCATGATAATGATGAATGGGCCTCATGAGATCTGATCATTTTAAAAAACCGAAGTTGCCCTGCACAAGCACTTTTTTTGCCTGCTGCCATCCATGTAAGATGTGACTTGCTCCTCCTTGCCTTCCACCATGATTGTGAGGCCTCCCCAGCCATGTGGTACTGTAAGTCCAATTAAACCTCTTTCTTTTGTAAATTGTCCAGTCTCAGGTATGTCTTTATCAGCAGCACGAAAACAGACTAATACGCCATAAAAAAAAATGTGTGGATTTATTTCTCAAGTCTTTATTCTGTTCCATTGGTACATATCTCTGATATTATATCAGTACCACACTGTTTTGATTACTGTAGCCTTATAGTATATTTTGAAATCAGGTAGTGTGATGCCACCTGCTTTGTTCTTGCTCCACATTGCTTTGGCTTTGCAGGGCCTTTCATCATTCCATACAAATTTTAGGATTTTTTTCTTATTTTTCTGAAAAATGCAATTCAAAATTTGACAGGGTTTCCATTGAATCTGTAGACTTCTTTGGATAGTATGGACATTTTAACAATATCAATTCTTCCAATCCAGGAACTTAAGATAGTTACCATTGACTTGTGTCTTCTTTAATTTCATTCATCAATATTTTATAGATTTTATTGCACAGATCTTTCACCTCCTTGGTTAAATTTATACCTAAGTATTTTATTATTTTTAATGCCATTATACATACAATTGCTTTCTTAATTTCCTTTTTGGATACTTCATTGTTAGTGTGTAGAGACACAACTGATTTTTGCATGTTGCTTTTTTATATGGCAACTTTTCTGAATTCACTTATTACTAATAACAATTTTTGATGCATATGTTGAACAGGAGTGGCAATAATGGGCATTCTTGTCTTGTTCCGATCTTACAGAAAATGCTTTCAGCTTTTATCCATTACATGTGATGTTATCTGCAGTCTTGTCATATATGGCCATTTTATGTTTGGGTATATTCTTTCTATACCTAATTTGTTGAGTTGTTTTTAATTATGAAAGGAGGCAAAAGTTTGTTAAACACTTATGATTTTTACCCTTCATTCCATTGATGGGATGTATCACATTTATTGATTTGCATGTCAAACAATTCTTGCATCCTATTTGATCATTATGTGTGATATCTTTAGTTTGCTATTGAATTCAGTTTACTAGTATTTTCTTGAGGATTTTGCATTTCTGTTCATCACACTATCCAACATCAAGCTATACTACAAGGCTGCAGTAACTAAAACAGCTTGGCACTGGTACAAAAATAGACACATAGACCAGTGGAACAGGATAGGGAACATAAGAATTAAGCTGCACACCTACAGTCATTTGGTCTTTAACAAAGTTGACAAAAATAAGCAATAGGGAAAGGACTATCTATTTACTAAATTATGCTGGGATATCTGGCTAGCCATAGGCAGAAAAGTAAAACTGTACCCCTACTTTTCACCATTATAAAAATTAACTCAAAATGGATTTAATATTTAAATGTAAGACTTCAAACTATATGAATACTAGAAGAAAACCTAGGAAACATCATTCTAAACATTGACCTTGGGAAACAATTTATGACTAAGTCCCCAAAAGCAATTGCAACAAAAACAAAAATATACAAATGGGACCTAGTTAGACAACTAAAGAGCCTCTACATAGCAAAAGAAACTATCAACAGAGTAAACAAACACCCTACTGGATGGGAGAAAATATTTGCAAACTACGCTTCCAATAAAGGACAATACCAAGAACCTACAAGGAGTTAAACAAATCAATAAGCAAAAAACAAATAACCTCATTCAAAAGTTGATAAAATACATGAACAGACACTTCTCTAAAGAAGACATACAAGTAGTCAACAAGCATAGGAAAAGATGCTCAGCATCACTAATCATCAGAGAAACACAAATCAAAACCACAATGAGATACCATCTCACACCAGTCAGAATGGCTCTTATTAAAAAGTCAAAAAAATAGCAGATGTTGTCAAGGTTGCAGAGAAAAGGGAATGCCTATACACTGTGGGAATGTAAATTAGTCTAGCCCCTATGGAAAGCAGTTGGAGATTTCTCAAACAACTAAAAATCTAACTACCATTTGAACCAGCGATCCCTTTACTGGGTATATACTCAAAGGAAAATAAATTGTTGTAAGAAAAATACACATGAACTTGTATATTTATAGCAGCAATATTCACAATAGCAAAGACATGAAAATAACCTAGGTGCCCACCAACAGTGGATTAGGTAAACAAAATGTAGGACATATACACCATGGAATACTATGCAGCCATAAAAGAATCAAATCATATTCTTTGCAGAAACATAGATGCGACTGGAGGCTATTATCCTGAGCAAATTAATACTGAAACTGAAAACCAAATAATGCATGTTCTCACTTATAAGTGAGGTACACTTATATGTTAGATACACATGGACATAAAGACAGGAACAATAAACACTGGGATGCAGAAAGGAGGGAAATATGGAGGGGAACAATGGCTGAAAAACTTCCTATTGGGTACTATACTCACTATCTGAATGACGGGATCAATAGAAGCCCTTAGTGCAGCATCACACAATATACTCTCGTAACAAACCTGCACACATTCACCCTGAATCTAAAATAAAAATAAAAATAAAAAATAAATCCCGTCATTTGTAAGATGCTGAATCAAGATAAGAATAGTTATTTTTCTTGACCATAGCTCCTTCATATGCTGTTTTCAGAGCTGGGTTGGTTGAATGAAATGAAATTTTTGGCATGCAACCATGCAGTAGAATTGGCTCTAATATTTCAGATTCACCTGGGCATACAATATTTTAGGGCTTTCTTCAAGGATCCTTCATTCATTTGCAGAAATCTATTTCTTAAGAGCTTGTAAGTGTTTTCACTCATTGCCTGACAATATTCTGTAGAGTCATCCTCTTAAAGAAATGCACATCTGCATAGCAGTTGCTGCTTATTGCCCACATAGTATGCATAAGAAAACGTGCATAATATGCATAAGGAAATGTTGTTATGTAAAATATTGCTGCTTCCTCCACCTGGAATGTTCTTCCCCAATCTAAGTGTGTTCTCTCTCCTCATCACTTGGGTCTCTACCCCAACGTTACCTTCTGAGAGAGGCCTTTGCTGAATTCCTTATCAAAAATAGTCAACTCTCTCCACATTCCCTTAGCCAAGCAGTCTCTCTTTTCACCGTGATTAGTTTTCTTTATACTATCTGTCACTTGCTAAAAGGGTATCATTTATTTATTTTCTAATTAATTACTATAAGTCTCTTTTCCTAGAATGATAGCTCCATGAGGATGAAACTTTTGTCTTATTTTATGGCTGTGTCTCCAGCGCTTAGAACCCTTAGAAATTGCCTAGGATTATCTGAATATCTCTCTTAGAACAATGCCTGGTACATAGTAGCAATTCAGTAAAAACATACTTATTGAAAGAATATTAATATTGTATTTTTGTTCGCTATAGCATTCATCACAATTGTAATTAAAAATAATTATGTCATTAGTTATATATACCTTTATCCACTCTCCCACTGGAATATAAAATCCACGGCACATGAATTGTGCCTTTCTTTTTCATTGTATTTGGGTTAAATGGAATAAACACCAGAAAAGTTTTGTTGCTTACTCTCATGAAATCTAATGATGCAATTTTTCTATGGAAGAACAGCACGATGAAAATAAATAACAATTTAACAATTTAAATGAAAGATCAAGACAACATAAAAGTTAGGAATTTGATAATATGTTAGACACTCATATTTGTTAATGCTAAGCCGTTTCTAGTAATATGGGATTAGATGGTAAATAAATATTTAGCACATGTTCTTACAAGTATTACAAGAATGAGATAGGGTGGAAAAGTAAAAAAAAAAAAATCACACATAAAAGGCAGTGTTCAAGTATTTTAAAGATAATGACTCTTATAAGGAAATAGTAAAAGTATTAGAAGAGCATTAGCATAGATGCAGCTATGGGTCACCACTGCAGGCAAGTAGTGAGAAAAAAGCCTGGAAGTTAGATTACCAGATGATTAGAAATTTAGTTTTAGAACTTTGGACTTCAACTTCTGTCAATGACTGGTGGGAAAGCAAAAAAGACTTTTAATCATCTTAGTAGAAAAATAAAATTGACATTTTAGCGATAATTATGGAGGCATAGTAATGTAAATACAGTGACAAACTAGAGGAAGGAAAATCAGATAGTAGGCCAGTAGTGATAAAGTAGCAAACACTTCCAGTGGAAACTTAAAGGTAAGTAATAGGGTAAAACACACTTTTTTCCGATCAATATTGAGTTCCTCCAGTATTTTCTGACACTTATTTCTCAAAGGCAATAGATAATCTGCTGTACTCAGAGCAGGAATCTGTCATTTACTTCTTCTAAGTAGATAACATGTCTAGATATTTCCCAGCTATTATATTCTATAAATTGCCTAGGATTATCTAAATGTCTCTCATAGGAGACTGTAGGGCAGTCACATTATTTATTGGAAATAAAGTTTTTGTTTATGTGCTTATGGTCATCAATACTTATTTTAAAAAGACATGGTGAGTATTGGCCATCTGCATAAGGTTTAAAAAATTTTTGTTCCTGACTTTGTAAGGGTGAATTCCCCATCTGATTCATGTGCAAAACTCCAAATAAAGTTATTTGGGATTATACGTGAGGAATTAAGAAAAAAAAAATCCATATAAATAAATAAGCCTATATACATTTAGGAAAACTTATTATCCTCTTTTAAAGAAAAAAACTCCATTGTAGATAATAAAACTTAGAAATATCTTGGGTTGTCTTCAAAAGAAAAGAAGCACATAAGCTCTCTCAGAGAAAAAAAAAAGAACTGTAATAGGAGGTCAAAGGAAAGGGCTTATTGAAATCCATTACGTTCTTAAAAAGATATTTTTTGGCTATAATTGATGGCACAATATAATATATTTCATTAAAGAGGAGAACAAAAATAAAAATTAACCCAAGTACTCTTCTAATTTCTATTAAAATTGGACCCATGAATCTGAAGATATTACTTAAGTTGTAATTTTTACAGAAACTTTTGAGGTTATATTACATGACAAACCAGACTCATTCAGCCTGGTTAAGGTATGACACTAAATGCCAATGGAAGAAAAAGATGAGTCACAGCTGGAGGTGGAGTTTGTCATTCCACAGGAAGGACATTCAAATTTACCCTGAAGTAATGTACTACAATGCCTTTTGTTATTA
This sequence comes from Homo sapiens, assembly GCF_000001405.40. Taxonomy (NCBI): domain Eukaryota; kingdom Metazoa; phylum Chordata; class Mammalia; order Primates; family Hominidae; genus Homo; species Homo sapiens. The sequence goes on along the minus strand of NC_000023.11, from coordinate 34,563,921 downwards.
TAGTTACATTTGTATGGCATAAATTGTGCTCAAAGGTAAAACATCCCAATGATTGCAATTATTCTGAGTGGCTTTATAAAAATACTCTTTTGGAAGGAGAAGGAAAATTTTCGCACTGATAATTATTGTTACTATATTAAAAGCAGTGGCTTTTTACTAACTGTGAAACTGCAGCTGATCCCGCTTGCTTTCAATTATCATTAAAATTATAATACAATAATTGTAAATAGTGAATTAATTTATTTTTTAAAATTATAAGTAATACTATTGAGGACTAAGCTCTGATTTTTTATCTTACCCAAATTCCTACCTAAGGGGTCTAGGGAGTCATGCCCTACAAACCATAAATTCTCATCAGATGGATTTTATTTGACCCTATATATCATGACTTACTTTTCAGTCTGACTCTGTCATAACATTATGAGACAAGGAAAAAATATTTAACCCCAAAATATATTTCCTTCTCATACCTTGAAATTGCCCTGCAAAGTCTCCTGTGGGAAAAATCCACATCTTATAGAGAATCACCTTTCCCCTTTGTTTTCCTTCCTTTCTTTCCAGATCCAGGAGATAATCAGCTAGGAGCCAGGCACCCTTTTAGGTCCTATAAGAAACGTTTTACAACCTGCCCTCTCTCTGAAGCCTGCTATCTGAGAGATTCCTCTGCACAATAAAACTTGGTCTCCCAAATCCTTTATCTTAAACTGAACATTCCTTTCCATTGATCCTAGGTCTTCAGATAAACTCAACCAATTATCAACCAGAAGATGTTTAAATTTACCTATAGCCTAGAAGCACCACCCCCCCACCCCGCCCCTGCTTTGAGTTGTCCTGCCTTTCTGAACCAAACCAATGTATTTCTTAAATGTATTTGATTGATGTGTCATGGCTCCTTAAAATATATAAAACCAAGCTGTACCCTGACCACCTGGGGCACATGTTCTCAGGACCTCCTGAGGGCTGTGTCATGGGTCATGGTCTCTCATATTTGGCTCAGAATAAATCTCTTCTTTGACTCTTTTCATCAACACTATCCTTGTTATTTTATATCTTATTTTAGAGACTTGGGAGAAGGATTTCCTGCTTTATGAATTTATTACAAATTAATGAAACATTACTCTAAAAGGTCATAAAATAGCAAAATTATTTTAAGGAAGGGGAAAACGTCAGAAGAAATCTTCTTGGTTTTCATCTGCTTCTTCCTATTCCATTCCGCCATATTTCCCAGTGGGAAACCGGCCCCTCACTGTTATAAACCTTGTCTAAAACGAGTTAAATGGCTTAGTTTAAAACAAATTTATCATCTTAATTCTGAGGAGAAAATGAATGAGCAAGAAACAGTTTTGATATCAATTTTTCTTGATATCAGGTTAGTATTGCTTTGAGGATTGTGTTTTTAATGCTGACAAACACACACAAATCTTCACATTTATCCCAAGGATCGTACTTTTTTTTATAGCTCTATAAATTCTCCAGGCCGGCCTATTTCAATTATACCTTTCAATTTTTGAGCCATTTATTCTGCCTGTGTGGGTAGGTGATTCTACAGAAGCCAAGACATTGCTAATTATTCAACAACACTTTACTTTCCTATTTAAATTACAAATGATAAGTGAGGTTTCATGAATGTGTAACACAGTTTGTAATACCAGAGAAAATTGCAGGGAGCCTTACACAGCTATTCATAAACCTCATGATTCAAGGTATTACTCTCAAAAGGGGAAAGAAATTTTTGTGGAATGTTGAGTGTATTTCCTGTTTGCTCCCAGGATAGCTATAATGCTTTATTTCCTACAATAGAATTAGGATGTGGTGTTAGAATGTGCTTATCAAATGTACAAGAAATAAGATTAAGCAAGTTTGGTTAATTAATGTTATATATTATTTATGTAACACAATCTATACCCAACATCTCTTTCCCTCTCCCTACTCGCAAGAACACATATATAAAAATCAGATATTTCTATACAATTGTTGATAGACCTAGAATATTTTGAAGAAATAGGTTATGGTTAATTATGGTAGAGTATGTTTTTTGTTATCCTTTTTATACTGTGATTTATGGAACTAAATAGATGTCCATTTTTTGTTTATTGACTGTCAGAAACCTCAGAGGTAAATCTCTGGCCCTCTTTTGACAAGTATGCTATAGTCAAATAATTATTACAGATTACTTTTAAATTGAGATATTACAATTTAAAAGTAATTGAGGAGTTCGAGACCAGCCTTGCCAACATAGCAAAACCTCGTCTCTATTAAAAATACAAAAATTAGCTGGGCATGGTGGCACACACCTGTAATCCCAGCTACTTGGGAGACTGAGACAGGAGAATCACTTGAACACGGGAGGTGGAGGTTGCAAATATGCCACTGCACTCCAGCCTGGGCAACAGAGTGAGACTCTGTCTCAAAAAATATAAAATAAAATAAAAATAAATAAATAAATAAATAAATATATATATAAAACGCATATAGAAATCAGTATTCTTGCTGCATTTTATGCAAATAATTAGGCCAAGTACAAGACTAAAGTCTGTTTTGCAAACAACACAGTCTTATAATGATTTGTTTTTAACATAAATGAGGACTAGAGAGAGAAAAATTATGTTTCAAAATCTATCGTATATTTGTCATTAAATTCTAGACCCATTAGTTGTTTTTAAGTTTTTGCCTACATTTTAAACTAACACTGCTCATTCCTGTAAACCAACCAGTGATCACCAACTGCAGCTCAGAAGGAACAAGAGGGATGGGTATTGTTAAAAATCTGGATCAATGTTCTAGTTCTGAGCAATTGTCCTGCAAATCCTGCCAGGTGATGGGAAGAAATTGAGTGCCCATCACCCGGAGGTCTTCTTTTTGGGAAAGTAAGACCAATGGAGTTAACCAAAGCCAAACTCCATGCACCCAAATCCTAGCGATCATAACTACAACTGCCAGTTTTATGGGAGTGTCACAAGACATCTTTTTCTCTCCCTTTTTGGAGAAGGACTGAATTCCACGGCTTCACCTTAGCATTTGGCTTATGATAAGGAGCCCATGCAACATCCCTCCCCCACGAGACAAATTTTTGGTCCCAAACTCAATTCCAAGTTTTGGGTCAAAGCCCTAAGAAAGAAAACTGGATCTAAGGGATCCAGAGGAAGATGATAACAAAAGTTAAAAGGCACAGCACAGGTAGGCATTACTAATTCCTGCCAGTTGAGCTAAGCTTCCTGTTTCATGGATAAAGGTCATGTTAGTATTCATGGCATAAATGAGTTCCAGGGAATTCAAAGGCTATTGACAGCAGGGGAGATAGGCATATGTGGTTAAGAGCAGATAGTCCCATCCCCTAAGCCCCCCTGTTAACATGGTTGAAAGCTGCTTTGACATCCATGGGTGGCACCCTGTCATAGTCACCAGAATTCAGGGATATAAGAACGGAGGAAAGAGGAATGCCTAACTTTTCCTCTCCCTCATGTACCCTGGGTATTTGCTAAGAAGAGAAGGAAACCAGATAAGTAGCCATTCATCTTCAGTCTGTGCCCCTTTCAAATGCATACTGACCCCCGCGGGACTCCTCTGAGAAAGAAGCCTTCTTTTTTTTCCTTTTTCCTCCTCTGTCCTCTCTTCACAGCTAGGTAATTGTGTTTTTATACTATGCGCTATGGGACACTCTTCTCAGGTGCATCCTCCAAACTGGGAAGAGTTAATTTCCCAAACCTTAGACTGGTTGGTTTAGGATTGGGCTCAGGGGAAGGGAACCCGGAATCCTGACATGCTGGCAACAGGGTAAAAGTTTGTTTTTTTTTTTTCTTTTTATACCAGTCAGACTTTTGGCCTCCCACTCCCTGTGCAAACGAGTAAAAGGACTCGGGATTTCTTGAGCTGTCCATAATCCGCCCCCCGCCTTATTTGTTTTGATATATGTTTTCTAATAACCCAGTTTTTCTCTTCTCACCTTCAGGCCATCAAACTCCAAATGGTCATGCAACCAGAGCCTCGGATGATGGCCCCTTTTGCCGGGGACCCTTAGATAGGCTGTCTTAGACCCTTAGACCCTGCCTTAGAGCCTTAGACCCTTAGATAGTCAGAAGAAGATCTGACTGCCATTTTCCCAAAACAGTACCCCCTGTCATCAGGAAGCAGTTAAGATTGATCTTTGTCCTTCTCCTTATCTTTACTCTAACAGCAGATAGATGTACTTCTTTAGAGGGGCGAATGAGACAGTCAAAGGCCAAGGCAGATAATAAGGGGTCCCTGGAGAATCTCTGACCTGCCCCACAAGTATTTACATTAGATGTTTTTGTGCAGATGAGGGAAGCTTGCCAGGGCTTGTCTGGGCATGCCCACAGTGGACTGGAGCCCAACATGCACATGGGGGATGTGGGTGGAGGAAGTGGGTGGAGAAGTGGGGGGAAGTGGGTGGAGCCACAGGGAATTCACACCCTATGCAGGGGAGGAGCCTGCTTTCTTCAGTCTATGTGGTGACCTGGGAATCAATCTATGAGGTAGAGAGCCTGTTAGCAGGTCTCTATCTCACTTTGCTGACTTCTTTTTTTTTCATTTTTTCCTTTTTGCTAAATAAAGTCCTGCTATACTCACACTTCAATGTGTCTGTGTGCCTAAATTTTTCTGGTCATGTGACAAGAAGCTAGGTTTTAGCTACACTAAGGAGCAAAGTTCTACAACACTTCTCCACTAGTGGTTTTTAAATAAATAAAGCTGGAATACTAATATAATCTTGCCTTTCAAATTGCAAAAGACAATCCTTTACCCTCCCCCCATCCTCTTTAAAAGAGAAGTATCTATAGACTCAATCAAAAATGATTCTGTAACCAAGAGTGCACCTGGTTAAATAATAAATTATTAACGATAATCCATGTAAGGAATCTCTGCTTCTGACTGAGATGGAGTAACAGGGGCTGGATTTGTCATTTGTGCAAGTCCATTTGCAGTGCTAAAAGGGAATATCTGATGCTGGGTAATTTATAAACAAAAGAGACTTATTTGGCTCATGGTTCTGCAGGCTGTACAAGAAGCATGGCACCTGCATCCACTTCTGGTGAGAGCCTCTGACTGCTTCTACTCATTGCAGAAGGCAATGGAGGGCCAGCATGTGCCAAAATCACATGGCAAGGAAAGAAGCAAGAGAAAAACAGAGGGAAGGTGCAACACTCTTTTTAACAAAAAGCTCTCATAGGAACTAATAAGAGTTACATAGCCTTCCAATCACCCCAGGGAGGGCATTAATTTATTCATGAGGAATCTGCCTCATGACTCAAACACCTCCCATTAGGCTCCACCTCCAACATTGGAATCAAATTTCAATATGAGCTTTGGGGGAATAAACATCTAAACTACAGCACCATCCTTTCTGAAATATCCAAAAGGCAAGAAATATATTGGAAATACCCAAAAATGAACAATCTCAGAAAGAAGCAAAAAAAAAAAAAAAAAGGAATATGGAAAAGACCGTGTGGAAAAGAGGGACCTAGTTCTAACCCAGCAGACTCCTTATGTTGAAAAGACAGAGATGAACGTCTGGGGAAACCAAAGCATCTAGAGTTCATAGGACAAGCTATCTGTAAAGAGAGAGCTAAGCAGAGAGAATGCTGGTGATCCACAGTGGAGCCTTCTTGATTTAGCTGAGTACTGACAGGTATGTGTGTGAGGAAACCACACAAACAAGGCGTTATGTATAATATGGCTGTTTTTGCTCCACTCTGAGCCTCAGGAACATTCTCATAGACTACATCATCCAGTCTTTGCCTTCGGCTTTTGATTAATTTTAAACAGTGGGAGGCACTTCTAGGAGGTGGGAAGAGAGGAGGAAAGAGATACTGATGGGTTTATTCTTTCTGTTTCTTCCCTGCTTCCTTGAGGTTCTGCAGTGGTTGAGTCACTAGGCCCTTGCTATTTCAAGTGTGATCCTTGAACCAGCAGCATCAGGAGCACCTGGGAGTTGCTAAAAATGCAGAATACCTGGCTTGCTTCAATCAGAATCTCCATTTAAATAGGATCCCCAGTTGTGCTTCATATACATACGAAAGGTCACTCTGTGTTCCAAGGCTCCAGCTTTCTCCAAGTTAAGGTACCACCTTTTCCTCCTCTTGTCTTTCCTGGCCCTGGGCCCATAATGGCTTTCTGCTGTCACTAGTCCCTTGTTAGATTGTGGAGCTCTGTCAACATCTCTGTAAATAGGTCCTTTTAAAATGTATCTTTTAGTCAACACTTTTAAGTGTACAATCTGTTTCCTGCCAACACCTTAAATGATACAGTAATATACTATCCATCTTAATATCTATACATCTATGTTGATAGCTATATACATACTCTATCTTTATAATACTTTTAGCATCCCTACCTCTTCCTGAAATTCAAAACAGCCTTTTTTATGTTTTGTTAAAAAATACATAGTATTAGCACTTTTTCCCCAGTTACAACTAAATAATATCTAATGATATACATCATAATTGCCCAAAAATGAAAATTCAGTTTTGGAGAAAAATTAAGGACTTCTGTGAATCTGGAGAAGAAAGCAAGACAGTACTTTGTGTTTGTATGCTAGTTTGGTAGGCAGCCTCTAAATTGCCCTACAGTGATCCCTGCCTGCTGATTTTTACACTGTTTTGTAATCTTCTTCTCTTGAAAATGGGCTGAAGTTACTGACTCACTTCTAACAAATAAGAATATGACAGAAGTGATGAAATGTGACTTCTGGGATTAGGTTATAAAAAGATGGTGGTTTTTGTCTTGAGCACTCTCTGTTACTCTGTCTTGCATTCCTCACATGGGAGGAAGCTGGCTGCCATGTTGTGAGGGAAGTTCTGTAAAGGGGCTTTACCTGGAGAGAAACTGAGACCTACTGACATATAGATAAATGAGCTTGGAAGTGGATCCCCACTGTCCCCATCCCCACCATTGAACATTTCAGACGAGAGACACCAGCCCCAGCCATGAAGCAAAAAATTAACTGCAGTAATAAAAGAAAAACTTCTGCCAAATTAAATCCAAAGGAGTTTAATTGAGCAATGAATGGTTCTTATATCAGGCAGCTTCCTGAGCCAGTGTAGGCTCTGAGACTCTAGTGCAGCCACATGGTAGAAGAAGATTTATGGACAGAAGAAGGAAAGCGATGTGCAGAAAACAGAAGCGAGGTACAGAAACAACTGGATTGGTTACAGGTTGATGTTTGCCTTATTTGAACACAGTTCAAACAGCTGGCTACATTTGATTGGCCAAAACTTGGTGATTGGCAAAAGTGTAAGCTGCAGTCTATTTACACCTCCACTTGTTATAGTTCACGATATACAGAGAAACCTTTAGGCAGAACTTAAAATATGTAAGGAGGCAGCTTTAGCCGAAACTTGATTTAACTATTCCCCGCTTTTGGTCATCTTCTCAATTTTGAGAGATTGATAAAAACTTTAGTCATTGATGTCACCCTCACCATTGTAAATGTACTTATTTGGTCTTGAAATCCACTGGGAAATGGTAGAGCAGTGGGTTTTGCAAGGTGGGAACAAGGACTGAGTAGAAGGTACCTCTTTATGCTGGAACGTTCTGTTCACAGGAGAAAAACAAAACCTGGTCTGTGTTGTCTTAAAGTCTTAGTTTGATTATGTCATATTTAGCATGAGTGACTCCATTTTGCTTTGGTCTGGTCTGTTGAGGCCTAGTGCATGAGCTCAGTCCAAAACAATTGCCTCACATAATTTAGTTTAATAAGACTCCCCTCTTTTGGTCAGATTCTCACTTAGGTGAGAGTGTGACCAAAACTTAGGGCCTAGTACCACTCTCAGTTACCATCATTTTGGGATTCTGGTATCAGCATGTCATTCATAGGTTATGGTGCCCTCATGGCCAGACATTTATTTTGGCTCTTGTCATTTCAGTTGAAGACAGACCACTTGACATTCTAGAGATGGCTGCATGCAAATGCTTAAAACTTTTGAGACAATACAGCATGATGATCAGGAGGATAGTATCAAGAGTTTGAGGTATGCTCCTTGCCCAGGGTCCCCATAAACCAAACCACCTAGAATTAAATAGATTAAATAATGAGCTACATAAAGGGTCTACTCATTTAACTAAGCAGTCTCTTCGTTAATTCCCTGCAACCGAATCTCTATAATCTACATTTGATGTATTTTTCCATAGGGCACAAGTGCCCGCAGCTGCACAGATACTTCTGTTTAGCCAGTAACTAATCTAGAGCAATTCCATTATTTAGCATAACTTTCGCAAGATAATTTAAAGTCTGTTGCGTAACCATAGCCTTTATAGTAGAGTCTGCTATACAGCCTGTCATGAGGGATACATTTCTAATCATCGCCTCTTTTACTCCAAACCATGGAAAAAGGACCACACAAATGATGCCTTTCTAGAAAAGTCAAGGCCTCTGAGAGATTTTTTCTTTAGCCCATGATGTAGGTTAAGAGGGGTGAACCAGTGTTCTGTTTCTGACTGATTATGAGGCAAAGTATGTACCATTAACATTTATCATCTACGTTGGGCCTTCATCTTCCATCTAGTAAGGTATAAGGTTATGCATGTGTAAGGCTGGCTGCAAAATCCTTCACAAATAAAAGTATACCCCATGAGTGCACACAACTGATCCCCTTTTCACTTCTATTGTCCTTAGAGACATAAGCAAGGGAAAAAATACTAAAAGGTAAGAGCCTCATGGTAGTAGAGAAGTCTTAATCCATGATCTTGGGAAAAGCTGTTCACATCAAAGATGCCAGCTTCTTCTGGGGAGAAACTTCCCTGGTAGGCTTTACCTTAAGGGTTCCAATGGGTGTACAGTTCCAAGATTGTGGAGGCAACCTTCTCGGTTGTGAAATTATAATCTCAAAGTTCAAGGTCGCAAAGTTTTTCTGTAGTGTGGATGGAAAGGGCAGTCTTTCTCTGATGTTCTCAGAAGATGCAATCTTCAGGTTCTAGATTGTGAAGAAGTTGATTGTCCTCAGGCATAAAAAGCTTCCTTTACCTGGTGAAAATACCCTGTGGCATAACATATCTACTGTTATAACATCAGCCCTCTTGCATGGGAAAGCTTTTGTACAACCAGAAAAAATGCACTGAATGTGACAACTGAATTTAATCCCTCTATAAATGTTTAAATGGCCCATCAGGTAGCCAAATGTACCTAGAGCTTTGATTGTCTTCCCAGGAATATGGGTTTGACAAACCAAACATTGGTTATAAACGATTTCAGCAATTTAGAAGTCACCACACCAATATATATTTAATTTGGATCATTTTATCTTTTTCATGATGAGTCATGGAACGCAGAACCTTTAATACGAAAGATTTAAGGACTCAGGAAGGACAAGGCTGCTGTCAGGGTTCTCCAAGAGTCCATGCTTAACATTGGTCTTATGTCCTCTTGAATACCGGTTGTTTCTCCAATTTAGGTCCATAGCACTGATAACTGATGGGTTATCATAGGTCATTTTACTTAGACCATGGAGTTCATTCAAGTTGTATATCTAAACAATTTCAGTATTCGCTGATTTAGCATGAAAATCTGGCAAATTTTTTTGGTATTCTTTTAATTTTTGTTCTCCTTGGGTTAGTAGGTTTATAAACCAGTCAGTCTTTTAATTATAGTTCCAGGAATTCTTACCCAGTCTAAATGATATGATTCTAAAGTTACCAGAAACCCGTATTCAAGAGTGCTTTTCAGGGTTCTTTCCATTCTTTCATGAACCTCCTAAAAGACACCATATTCTAGAATTCTGAGTGCTTGTGATGTTTTTTTAGAAACTGCATCAGAATTAAGCAATTAACTGTGGAAATGACTTTAAACACTCATCGTTAAAGACACAATTGACAAGGAAATTTGGTTATTTCTGTGGTCTACAATAACTTAACATTAATAACCATAATTATGATTAATAACGTATAATCAGACAATTAGAATTTTAAAAATTCCATAAAATTTTGGAACATACATTAACACCATTCACTAAAATATAACCTGAAGAAGGTTAAACATTATTTTTTATTTTGACAATGCTCCCCATGTAACTTAACATGTCAAATAATCCTATTTACCTCTCTTTTGGATGCTTCAGGCGCCCTCTGTAGCATCCCAAAGTTAGAGATTAGAAAAGACAATTTTGAAGCTGAAATTTGATTTGGGGAAGCCTGTCAAATATGTTGAAGGATTAAAACACTTGATATTATAAAAATATAATTCCAGGTCACCATAAGTTATTCATTTAGCCAAAATAATGACTCAAAAATTTTAAAAAGGCAAAAACCTTTACTCATTGATAGAGGGAAGACTTAGCTTTCCAGAAAAATTGTGTCTTGTCTTTTCTTTCTTTTTCCTGTAGTTTATTCAAATGGCAGATAAAAATATTTCATTATCCTTCAATATTACATGAAAATTTTGTTCAAGAAAGCTGAATTTTAGGCTTGCATTAGTGTACTCCTAATGTCAACCCCAATTTTTAATAAAACCTTATATACGAATATATCCAGTCTTATACAATTAGACCATAAAGTGAGATTCTCATAAACCTTTTATAACCCTTTATGAATTTTTATTAAAAAGCATATCAGTGGTCTAAGAAAATCCTGTTTTGCTTTTACCCCAATGTTCAATTTACAGAAAAATTGAATAATACCCCTTTAATTTTCACTAGATATTTCTTTTACAAGATTAATCTCTCACAACCTTCCATAACTTGGTCAAATTTTCAGCTTTATCCTTTCTAATTTAAAATAACCTTTTAACCCTTTAATCCAAGCAAAAAAATCCGTATTTCTAGGCCTTCTTATCATCTTTTGCCAAAAGCACATTTCACTTTCCTCACACACTTTGCATGTAAAACTGTTTTTTCAATAGTCTCAATTACATTACAATGTTATCTCTTAGCAATTTTTATTTTTAGTGAAAGGCTTGCTAAGTGATTTTAATTATGTATTAGGTGTGGAGCCTAGAACACAAGACAGATGTGCAGATAAAGTCTAACTCTTTACAGCATAGCCAGTAGCCTTGGCTAACTCCACATGTCCCTAGCCCTTACCTAGGCTAATGGCTCCAAATCAGGTAAGTTGAACAACTGTCAAAAGTCAAAGAAGCAGTTTATTACCTTAAAGCATTTAGCAAATCTAATATCTGACCTGCCTAATTTAGACCAAATGTCTTTATTTTACCAATAATCTTTAAAACTCTTTGTTTTCCAAGGCCTACTAAAGTCACATGAACTAAAAGGTACTATTGTTTTTATTTTCCTAACAAAATATTTGATTAAAGAGCTTATTATTTTCAAGCCAATTAATCAGAGCTCTTTCATAGGTAAATGACGCACACAGAACACATATAAATACACAGAAAGACAGAAGAAAATCCAGTGATTGTACAATTTTTTATTTGCCAGTCTCTAAGTTTCTTAATTGCATTACTGGTTTCAGGGTGGAGTCCTTCTAGGAAGAGGTCAAGGAAAACATGCAGTTTCTAGGGCTTAATTAGCAAGCACAGCTGGAAGGCTAAACACATCCCCAACAATTCACAGTCCCATTTTTTAAAATTTTAATAATATATTTTATTTAATCCAATACATCAAAAATACTACTGTTTCAACATGTTATCAATATAAAAAACTTATTAGTGAGATACACTCTTTCCATCGTACCAAGCTTCAAAATCTAATGTGTGTTTTATGGTTGCTGCTCATCTCAACTGAGACCAGCCACCTTTCAGGTGCTCAGTGGCTACATGTAGCTACTGAAACCAACCTAATAGTCCCATAAACAGTTGTTTTTGGATAAACATAAAAATTGACCCTTCTGGTCTTAAAGCTTGAAACTTAAAGCCACAAGTTGTTTTGGATGGTTGTACATCCCCATCTCCTGCACTGTGACATTGGCTCTTCTGAGGGTTCACTTCCCCTTGTCCCTATAGGTGATCCAGGTAAGCCCTGACCTGGCTCCAGGCTTTGATTCCTTCTCCTTCCAAGGGCAACCTTACAGGTTGAACTTGTGGGACCCACCTCCACTAGCTGAAGAAACTGACCTAATAGGGTTCCATTTTTATACTGGATCCTGGATCCTCAAAAGAGAAATGCTATGGAACAAGACAATGCAATGATTTTACTGTGCATTTCATTGCAAAGCAACCCAACGTTCATCAGCCCATTCTGTGATTAGCTCATTTCCCATGGGAGTCTTATCTCTCAGTGGGGGCTGGGGCCATTTACATACTTTCTAGGTGGCCAAGAGCATGCTTTTTTTATTCAAACATGCAAAGAGCTGAGTATCCCCTCCATGTATTAATCAATTTTCACACTGCTATAAAGAACTGCCTGAGACTGGGTAATTTATAAAGGAAAGATGTTTAATTGACTCACAGTTCAGCATGGATGGGGAAGCCTAGGGAAACTTATAATCATGGCAGAAGGTGAAGGGGAAGCAAGGCGTCTTCTACACAAGGCAGCAGGAAGGATAATAAATGCAGCAGGAACTACCAAACACCTTATAAAACCACCAGTTCTTGTGAGAACTCACTCACTGTCATGAGAACAGCATAGGGTAAATCACCCTCACGATGCAATTACCTCCACTGGGTCTCTCCCTTGACACGTGGGCATTATGGGGATTATAATTCAAGATGAGATTTGGGTAGGGACACAAAGCCTAAATGTATCACCCCATAACTGCCATTTGCCACCCACAAAAGTATATTTAGCCTTAGATTTTGAGAGGGATCTATTTGCTTTCAATTACTGTGATTTCATGAGGAAAACAGAGTTTTTTTCCCAAAATGGGATCTGTGGCATCTCCTCTGTTTTTTCCAAGGAGTTACAACACGTTAGAAGTTATCTTAGGTCCCCTCATGTGTGCATCAAGAGAGGTAAGAAGACAAAATGGAGAAAAACAATTCAGTTGACTGAAAAGAAAAACACTTAAAAAAAAAAAAAACACACAAAACTCCAAGATCTAAGAAGAGAGAAAAAACATAAAAACTTTAAAAATATGTCTATAGATTGAATATCTGCTTTTAATTAAGCTGACTTTTAACCAAATATCTTATTACCCGACTCTAGCCAGAAAGAAACTAAAAATAGCAAATATTTCTGGCTTTTGCACTTTACCCAGAAGTAAACCCCCAGGTGCTCAGAGAAAGGAAACTTCAAGATGGGAAGTCAGAAGTTGCTCATGGAGAAGAACAGAATCAATAAATGGTTAAAGGTCACACAGAAAGTACTTATTCCCTAAGCCAGGATTGAACCTAGGTCACCATTATAAAATTGCAAAGCCTTAGCTGCTAAGCTACAGCATTTGGATGGTTTCTATTACTCTTCCCAGAAGGAGCCTAGAGCAGTAAAATTTGAGCTTGTTGCAATGGCTTTTAATTGCTCAAGATGATTTTTAGAGCTAACTATGACATAAACCCTCAAATCCTGTTCCCTGGATGGCAGAGAAAGTACCACCATGTGGTTACAAGGTCAAGCTCCCAAGAGTTTAAAACAAGACAAGAGGAAAACCTTATCCAGTTTTGTTGTTGTTGTTGTTTCAGGGACTTGCAACTGACTAGTTTGCTGGGCTGGCTTGAACAGTGAGCTTCTGGGGGTCCTAGGCCTGCATTCTATCCTGTGGTGGTACCCCTTTTTATGACAGAACAATGGGGAAGAACAAATTCATAGCACAAAGTACAACAGATTTGCTACAGCTTAAAACTAACCTCACAAATCTTTTTTTCCCATTAGTCAAAACTTTACAGAGGAGATAAACAGTGATTTTTACCATTCATTCAACCAGTTTGCACAGAGACAGAGAGGTCAGAAGTCTGACTGCTAAGAAATCCTTACCCTTTTTGCTGACATGTGCCCGGGTTCCCTTTCCTTGAGTGGCACTAGCAACCCTGCCAGCTGCTCCATAGCCATGGGGCCCAAGTCACAACACAAAGGAAAATCATCTTTTTTGGTTTCGTGGAACCATAGGCAAAAGCTTATCAATTTTGTAAGTTGCCACGCAACCAGCTGCATGGAGGACCCAAATTAACACTTTCCATTCCAGTCAGAGCAAAATATATGTGACAAAACATAGACATTAGCCACTCTGCTTAGTGCCCAATATCGAACGGGCCAGGCTTAAACTTGCCACTGGTTGGGCTCTGTCATCTTTAATCCCTTCAAAGAAGATTAAAGGAGTTTTAACATGTGGTCTCTGGGCATGGTGGTCATCCTGAGTAAAGAAAAGATAGGAAAGAAAAAAGAGACAAAGAGAGAGAGAAAAGCATTGCCTGCAGTGAGATGGGGAAGGCAAGAACCTCGGGGAGACCAGAGAAAGACCCACTCATTGCAGCAACACTGAATCAAAAGTTCAGACAGCCACTTGCCATCCATGAAGGGATCTTTTCCAGCATTCCCATACGCCCCCAAGTTTCCCCCTTTGGGGAGACAAAAAATTCCCCATGTTCCATGGTCCTGTATGTGTCTAATCCTGTCACCCATAGCTGTCAGCAAAGAGTGCAAGGCAGATTTATATTTTTTTTTAGATCAATTAGTTGCTTAAATTTTAATTTGCCTTTTGTAAAGACCTTAAATACAAATGGAGAAATATTTTAGAAGCTTCTGTATATTAATAGGCATCCCTAGATGAGACTAATTTGAGAGCTCTAATTTTCTAATACATTTCAGTGCAGTGTTGTTCATTTGGAACATTCTAGGACGAGCTAGACCTTAGATATTTAGGGGTCTGCATTCCATTGTAAAAATCCATTATTTGGCCAGGCACACCCGTAATCCCAGCACTTTGTAAATCCAAGGTGGGCGGATCACTTGAGGCCAGGTGTTCAAGACAAGTTTGACCAAAATGGTGAAACCCCATCTCTACTGAAAATACAAAAATTAGCCAGGCATGGGGGCGCACACCTGTAGTCCCAGCTACTGGGGAGGCTGAAGCATAAGAATCCCTTGAGCCTGGGAGGTGGAGATTGCAGTGAGCCGAGATCGTGCCACTACACTCCAGCCTGGGTGACAGAGTGAGATTCTGTCTCAACAACAACAACAACAACAGCAACACATTATTATATTGGGGAAGCTTCTTGGTTTCCCCTTTTCTGGGCATATATAATTTTAAATTGATGTATATCATAATCGTAGAGGCAAAAATAGAAGCTTAGTGCTAAGTTCTAATATGAGGACAAGTAATATTCCCTCTGGACCCACTAGTTAGAGTAAAGCACAAGATGAAGAGAAAGGAAAAAAAGATAAAGACTTGGAGAAAACCGAGTAGGCTAAAGGACTAGAACAGGGGTTCTCAGACTTTAGGGATGTACAGAATCATCTAGAGGGCTTGTTAAGCTACAGATTTCTGGTCTCTACCCACACAAGTTTCTGATTCAGTAGGCCCTGTAGGGACCCCAAAATTTGCATTTCTAACAAATTCTAGGTGATGCTGATGTTACTAGTCTGGAAGCCACAGTTTTATAACCATTGGACTAGGGTATTTGGCTTAATTATAATTTAATGTAATCAATGTTTCCTAACTTATTCGTAGTACTCTTGTTTTAAATCTTCAGTGATGACACAAATGTTAATTATGCTTGGTGGTTATTCATCCTCCCTCTTCTTTCATCTGTTCATGGGAAAAATAAAAGAGGAAGAAGGGATTGCAGAAAATCAAATGTTGAGTGTTGCCTAATTTTTCACTGTCTCACTCTTTGTGAAAGTAGGCAACATCTTTGGTTAGCAGAAATATTTTGACCAGTTACTGGTGTAGATTAATAGTTCTTTTTTTTTTTTTTTTTTTTTTTTTTGAGACTGAGTCTCACTCTGTCGCCCAGGCTGGAGTGCAGTGGTGTGATCTCGGCTCACTGCAACCTCCGCCTCCTGAGTTCACACCATTCTCCTGCCTCAGCCTCCCAAGTAGCTGGGACTACAGGTGCCTGCCACCACACCCAGCTACGTTTTTTTTGTATTTTTAGTACAGAGAGGGTTTCACCATGTTAGCCAGGATGGTCTCGATCTCCTGACCTCGTGATCCGCCCGCCTCAGCCTCCCAAAGTGCTGGGATTACAGGCTTGAGCCACCGCGCCCAGCAGATTAATAGTTCTTTTTAGGAAACTCTTTGATGGAAATTGTCCATGGAGCTACTCAATCCTGGGATGTCTTACTGGAGGCTCTGCCAAATCAATTAGACATAGTTATGATATGGGAAGAAATAATTATAAGTCTGAAGTATTAGTACTTTCTGCAGAAAAAGGAATGGGACCAAACATTCATTGAACATACAAGGATTTTATGAATTTAGCATTGGACTGCTGTTCTGTATGATTTTCTGTCTTCTTTATATTGGATTGATAGAGTCCTAATAAAATCTATATGTCATATTGCTATGGTTTTGGATATGGTTTGTTTGGCCCTGACAAGTTTTGTGTTGGAATTTGATCCCCAGTGTTGGAAGTAGGGCCTGGTGAGAGGTGTTTGGGTCATGGAGACAAATCCTTCATCAATGACTTGGTACCATATACATGGTAATGAGTGAGTTCTTGCTCTATGAATTGCTATGAGAACTGCTTGTTAAAAAGGGCCTAACATCTTCCTCCTTTCTCTTTTGCTTCCCACCATGTGATCTCTACACATCAGCTGCCTTTCCCCTTTCACCCTGAGTGGAAGTAACTTGAGGCCCTCACCAGAAGCAGATACTGATATCCTGCTTCTTGTACAGCCTGAAGAACCTTCAGCTAAATAAATCTCTTTTCTTTATAAATTACCCACCCTCAGGTATTCCTTCAGAGCAACACAAACCAAGATGCACACACACACACACACACACACACACATGTTAGTATGTGTGTGTGTGCGTGTGTGTGTGTGTGTGTGTGTATATATATATATATATATATGGAACTATTAAGTCATGCACTTATATATTTCTTGGCCTACTGAAGTAATCAGCCTTGACTGCAAAGGTATTTTAAAAACCAGTTCTCTGCAACATTTTCTTAAAAATGTAACATAATACACATTTATTATAGAAAGTTAGATTTCTTTGTGCTCAGATCACTTTTCTCAAAGACTAGATAACTTCAGGGATATCAGTATGTTACAGACTGAAAACTAATTTTTAATGCCTTTCCAGATAGATCTGTTACTAGCAACAATACTGTCTGATATGGTTTGAATTTATGTCCCTGCCCAAATCTCATGTCGAATTGAAATACCCAGTTTTGGAGGAGGGGCCTGGTGGGAGATGACCGGATCATAGAGGTGGACTTCTCCCTTGCTGTTCTCATGATAGTGAGTGAGTTCTCATGAGATCTAGTTGTTTAAAAGTGTGTGAAACATCCCCCTTCTCTCTTTTCCTTCTGCTCCAGTCATGTAGGATGTGCCAACTTCCCCTTGAAGTTTTGCAACGATTGTAAGTTTCCTGATGACTCCCTAGCCATGCTTTCTGTACATGTGGAATCATGTGCCAATTAAACCTCTCTTCTTTATAAATTACCCATTCTCAGGTCGGTCTTTATAGCAATGTGAGAATGGACTAACAATACACCATCATTGAAAACATTTTGATTTTCACAAAAAATATTTTTAAAGTGTTTTAAAAGAATAATTGTTTTGTTAATATTATAAAATTGATACATGTTCAAAAATGATCCAAGCACTGGATGAAGATAAAAGCAAAAGTATTATCCCAAATTCAACCATTCAGAAATAAACATCATCAGCATTTGGTGAATTTAATTTCTTGTATCTCTATGTGAATGTTGGTAAAACTTTAGATAGATACAACTTAAGAAATATTGGATCATAATAAAATGCTATTTTAATTAAAAGCAGTTCTGGCAGACACATTGGTCTATCTAACATCTATCCACCCTTTATTTCTTTCTGATAATACCCTGGCACTTTTTGTGCCCAGACCCAAAGAATGTTAGACACTAATTTTCCACTCTCCTTTGCAGCTAGGAATGGTCATGTGATG
This sequence comes from Homo sapiens, assembly GCF_000001405.40. Lineage (NCBI taxonomy): Eukaryota > Metazoa > Chordata > Mammalia > Primates > Hominidae > Homo > Homo sapiens. The sequence goes on along the minus strand of NC_000023.11, from coordinate 34,545,987 downwards.
AGATTTTGGATAATGAAACCCAAGACAATATTGCTGTGAACGTTCTGAAAGATTTTTATCTTGGATAACAAAACAATCTCAGAGGGGAAGAACTTTTATCCTTTCTCCTTACTTTCTGCTTGGAATTCTGTTATGAGACCCTGATGCCTGGGATGGCAGCAAGTCACAAATTTTAATCTGAGGATTAAAAGCGAATATGGTAAGGGTGGCAGACAGAAAGAATTTAAAAGCCACAGTTTTTGGTGGCTTTCATAACTAACTGCTCATGTTTAGGCTTCTGGTTAAGAATACAAATAATGGTCTTATGGTTTAGACCCTATTTAGTCAGAAAAAAACATTTTTGACTAATACAATCTTATATTTAATTTGCTTGAATTTGATGGGGGAGTGGGAATTAAAATAAATAGGAAGAATTGTTAACCTTGTGGTGATGCAGGGTTTTTTTTTTTCTCCACCATAAGAAGATAATAGGCCCTAAAAGATTTCTGTAAAGGAAGGTGGGAGTAGAGGGGAAATTATGTCTCTTTAAGAGGTGGGAATCATCACTAAAATAAAGAATGAGGAAAATAAGCCAGTTAAAGAAGTATAAACATTGCATGATGCCACTGATATGAAGTATCTAATTTATTCAAATTCATAGAAGCAGAAAGTAGAATTGCAGTTGCCAAGGGAAGGGCCTAGGGGAAAATAGGGAGTTGATATTCAATGGGTATAACATTTCAATTATGCTAGATTAAGAAGTTTTAGGGATTTGCTGTAGAAAATGGTGCTTATAAGTTAGCAACACTGTTTTGAACATTTAAAATTTTGTTAAGAGGGTAGATCTCTTGTTATGTGTGCGTGTGTTTTACCACAATAAAAAAAAACACTAAAAATTTTGAGAGTTTTATCTCATTCATTTAGGTCTATTATCCATTTTGGATTAAGTTTTGTGTATGGTGTGAGATAAGAGTCTAAAGTATTTTTTTTTTTTTTTTGCCTATGGATAATGCATTGTCCCAGCATCATTTCATTTCTTGAAAAGATTATTCTTTCCCCATTGTATTGTCATCTTGTTGAAAATTAATTGACCATGAATATTAATCTTTTATTTCTAGACAGTTAACTTTTCTCCATTGATGTATATATTTATCCTTGGCAATACCACATTTACTTGTTAACTGTTGCTTTCTATTAAGTTTTGAAATTGCATAGTGTTTTATTTGTTTGTAATTGTTTAGGCTATTCTAAGTCCTTTGATTTTCTTTATAAATTTAAGATAAGCTTGCCAATTTCTAAATTTTGATGGGATTTTGATACCAATTGCCAGAAAACTTATAGATGACCTTTGGGAAAATTACCGTCTTGACAATATTGAGTCGTTTAATTCATGATCATTTTCATTTACTTATATGTCACTTTATGTATCTCAGAAATATTTTGTAGTTTTTAGTGTACAAGTGATAAACCGCTTTTGGTAAATGTATTTTTGGTTGTTTATCCTTTTTGATGTTACTGTGAATAAAACTGCTTCTTCATTTCATTTCTGGAGTGATCATTGCTAATATATAGAAATACAATGATTTATTTTCTTTTTTAAACACCACATGTGGCATCTGAATACAATTGATGGTTATAGTATAATTTCACATGCCATTTAATACAATCTTGCTAAACTCATTTACTAGGTCCAGTTTTTTTTTTCCAGATTTTGTGGCATTGTCTACATATGGGACTATGTCACTATGTCATCTTCATATATGGATGGTTTCATTTCTTCTTCTTCATTATTATTATTTTTTTTTTGAGATGGAGTCTCGCTCTGTCGCCCAGGCTGGAGTGCAGTGGCGTGATCTCGACTCACTGCAAGCTCCGCCTCTCGGGTTCACGCCATTCTCCTGCCTTAGCCTCCTGAGTAGCTGGGACTACAGATGCCCGCCACCACGCCCGGCTAATTTTTTTTTGTTGTATTTTTAGTAGAGACGGGCTTTCACCGTGGTCTCGATCTCCTGACCTCGTGATTTGCCCGCCTCGGCCTCCCAAAGTGCTGGGATTACAGGCGTGAGCCACCGCGCCCGGCCCGTTTCTTCTTCTTATATTTTGTTACCTTTAACTTACTCTTCTTTCCTTCCTTCCTTCCCTCCTTCTTCCCTTCCATGCTTTTAATGTTTATGTTGTCCCTGAATCATATGTTGAAACTTAATCTCCAATGTGACAGCATCAAGAGTTGAGGACTTTGGGGGAGGTTATTAGGTCATGGGGGCAAAGGTGTTATAAATGGGATTAGTGACTTTATAAAAGTAATCTGAGGGAGCTTGTTCCCCATTTCTGCCATATGAAGATATAACTAGATGGTACTGTTTATGAGGAATGGGCCATAATCAGACATTAAATCTGCTAGCACCTTGATCTTGGACTTCTCATCCTCTAGAACTATGAGCAATAAATTTCTTTTGTTTATAAATTACCCACTCTAAGGTGTTATAGCATTTGTTATAGCAGCCAAATGGACTAAGACAATTTCCTTATTGCCTTTTTGCATTGGAGGAAATTACTCAGATTATTTGTTGTTTCCCTTTGGATAATTTCAAGAGTGCTGACAATGCTTTTGTTTTAAATCAGTTTTGTTCAGCTTTATAACTGCTTTTTAGGGAGAAGACTCAATGACTTCCCTACTTGGCTATAGATAGAAGATTGCTTCCAACAATCTCTTTTTGAGTACTTATGCTTATATTCTCTTTATGTTCTTTTTTTACACAAATCACTTTGTCTGTAATATTTCAGAGATTGTGCAAAATAGTTTGTCCTGAAT